>NC_000002.12:51099443-51402473 GCF_000001405.40 Homo sapiens | reverse complement strand
TTTTCTAATTCTTTATTTTATTTTATTTTTTCAGACGGAGTCTTGCTCTGTCACCAGACTGGAGTGCAGTGGCATGATCTCAACTCACTGCAACCTCCGCCTCCCAGGTTCAAGCGATTCTCCTGCCTCAGCCTCCTGAGTAGCTGGGGCTACAGGCGTGCACCACCATGCCCAGCTAATTTTTGTATTTTTAGTAGAGACGGGGTTTCACCATGTTGCCCAGGATGGTCTCCATGTCTTGACCTCG
This sequence comes from Homo sapiens, assembly GCF_000001405.40. NCBI lineage: Eukaryota > Metazoa > Chordata > Mammalia > Primates > Hominidae > Homo > Homo sapiens. Next base: position 51,402,226 of record NC_000002.12, on the reverse strand, counting down.
TGATCTGCCTGCCTCGGCCTCCCAAAGTGCTGGAAGTGAGCTACCATGCCCGGCTTGCAATTGCGTTTTAAAGCATTTTTATGATGGCTGCTTTAAAATCCCTGTCAGAAAATTCCAACATCTGATTCATCTTGGTGTGGTCATTTCTTTATTAATTTTTTTCATTCATGTTGTAACTTTCCTGTTCTTAATACAACAAATGATGTTTTTATTGTATTTCAGAGACTTTTTAGATCATATTATGGGGCTATGGATCCTATTTAATCTATTTTTTAGTACAAAGTTTCACTGTTGAGCTTCAACGTGAGGGCTGGTGGTATGTATATATGCCACCTCCTCTGGGCGCCATTGACAACACTCCAGTTAAAAGTGGGGCATTGATTCACACTGCCTCATTGCAGAGGAGTAGAACATAAGTTTTGCTACTCTCTTGGCCCTTCTAACATTTTCCCAGCAAAAACAGGGAAGCAGCTTGTACAACTTTGCACCATCTGTTTGCTTTTGAGTGAAGGTGTGAGCTTGCTACCGGGCCTCCCTATGAAAAGAAAGGGGTAAACGTGGAGGCCTGATTTATACTGCTTTGGTGTTGTAGCATGGAGATAGAGGCTCAGATTTCTGCTACAGCCATCTGACACCAATGGCGAGAAGAAGTGTAGTGCCAACTAGTTCTGCCTTGCTGTACTCAGTAGAGTAGAATGAACGTGAATGTGATAAAAAGACCCATGGATCTTGAGAAAATTTCAAATTCTTAGAGACAAATGAGAGACAGAGACAGAGAACTGTAGAATGAGAATGAGTAGGACTGAGTAAATATTTGTAAATGTGTTTTTAAATTCTTATTGCATATATTATGCTGTAGAATGTACTAGATAAACACTTTCAAAGTGCAAAATGAAAAGAAGTTTGAACCCACAATTTCATAGCCAGACAAACTAGCATTCAGGTATGATAGCAAATTGTAGGTATTTCAAATACGTAAGGATTCAGAGTATTTATCACCAAGACTTTATTTTAAATAATTACAGAAATTTGTCCTATAAGGAAAAAATGAGGCATTCAAGAGAAAAAGAAGGCAAAGTACACTGGAAAATTGTGATAAAAAAAAGTTTAAAGCTACATTTAAATCTAAAGAAGAATTGTTCAGCAATATTTTTTAAATAACTAAAAACTAAAAATATATAAGATAATTTATGATACAAGAGATGTAACATAGAAAAGCATAAATGTACTAGTTTGTTGTTCTTCATTTGCTTTTGAGGGAAGAATATGAATAAAACGTTATTATAAATTTAAATTTGCAAAATATAAATTTAATTGTAAATACTAAAGTTGAACGAAGACGTAAAATTGTCAAACATCTACAACAAAAGTATTGGATTAATAAAATGCAAAAAAAGGTAAAAGAAAAAATAAAAGAATATTCAATAGAAAACTTAAAAATAAAATTTATTAGAATATTATTAATCATAATAAATATGATTTATATAATTTCCCTCAAAAATTTTGCAAAATAAAAAAATCAAACCAGTGTTCCAACTATGTACTGACTTAAAAAGATAAAATTTTACAAAAAAATTAAAAAGTTGAAATCATAAGACTAGAAAAATGGTGAGGAGAGACGTTTACACAGATGGCACATTTTTTGTAATTAGATTAATTTTTAATAAAAATAATAATGTTATAAATGGGGTACTCTCCTAAGTATTCAAAACAAAAATAATGTTTATTAGTATTTTCATTAAAAAACAAGTAAGAATAAAAATGAGTGAAGTAAGCATTTATTCCAGGAAGATAAAGTGAAAACATATATGGTCAAAGATTGAGTTGATGAAATAATAAACACAATAAATTGTTTCTATAAAATAAACACAAAAACCAATATAGTTGCTAAAATAAAATCAATATCAGTCACTTTATGTCAATGAAATAGATAAAACATTGATTAGTGATTTTTAAAAAATTTTTTATTTAAAAGTTATATTTAAAAGAACATTTAATAAAAGGAATGTAACTATACAATGCAGGAGATATTTAAAGATATTAATATCAATGAATAAACCTTTACACCAATAAAAGTTTATGTGCTAAGTGAAATGGATTTTTTTCAAAAATAGTAATTTGCAAAATTAATTGGAAATGGAAGTGTAACATCTATGGTCCAGTTACCTTAGAAGAAAATATCAGGAATTAAGGACATATCCCTAAAAACATACTAATCCTAGGCATAGTTCCAAGTGATTTCTTTTCATTTTGTCTTTAAAATTTTCTGTATTATAAAAACCCACTCAGATAAATGAAAAATATATTATTTTCCAGGAAAAGGACAGTGGAAGAAAATCAAGATTTTATAAAACAATGAATAAGTTATGAATAAAATGTAGGCTAATTTAATATAACAGTGATTTAAGTATATATTATAACCAAGTAGGATGTATTACAGAAATGCATGAGTTGTTTAAATCAGCAAATATATTAGCTAAATAATATTAACATAGTAATAAACTCTCGGATAACTATCTTACTAGATTCTCTATAATAGCTTCTGTTAAATTTAACACAGATCCCTGATTTTAAAGTAAAATGGCTAAGAAATCACAAATTCTTATCAAGCTTGGGACCGAAACTACTATCTTAATTTTATAAAAGGTATCCACCAGTAATATGCAACAAAAAGAAAATGTAAGAGTAAAACATTTGAAACAACCCCATTAATGTCTGAAATTGAACAAAATGACTACTAGCACTAATAATATTTAGCCATGCTTGATGCAATAAGATAATTTTAAAAATAAGATTTATTAATATTTTAAAGAAAGAGAATAAGCACACAGTATTTGAAGTATTTTTCATTAGTTGCCTGGAAAAGTCAAGAGATTAATTAAAAATTGGAAAAAATGTTTTGTGGCCAGAAATTTATAAAATACATAAATCAATAGGTTTCCTGTAGATTATCAATGAGGAACAAGAAAATACAATGATTAGTACCAAAATGTTTAAAAAGGGAAGCAAAAAATAAAGTGAGGTGGGATGAAAGAAGGAACAGAGAAAGGGAAGGATGAAGGAAGGAAGGAATGAGATTCAGTTCACCACAGCAAAAGTACCTGTTAAATGTTTCACAATAAACCCATTGATACAATTGAGCAAGATGGCTCAATAGAAGCCTACACCTTTTGCTCTCCCTGAAGGAACACCAAATATTAATAACTATCTGCACACAGAAAAGAATCATCCCAAGAACTAAAAATCAGGTGAGTAATGACAGTACTTGGTTCTTTGGGTTTTTTTCTTTTTTAAAAAAATTTTATTTTTCCAGGAGTTATTGGGGTACAGGTGGTATTTGGTTACCTGAGTATGTTCTTTAGTGGAGATTTATGAGAACTTTGTGCACCCATCACCCAAGCAGTATACACTGTCCCATATTTGTTGTCTTTTATCCCTCACTCCCCTCCCAATATTTCCCCCAGCTCCCCAAAGTTCACTGTGTCATTCTTATGCCTTTGTGTCCTCATAGCTTATCTCACATATATCAGTGAGAACATACGATGTTTGGTTTTCTATTCCTGAGTTACTTCACTTAGAATAATAGTCTCTAATCTCATCCAGGTCATTGCAAATGCCATTAATTCACCCTTTTTATGGCTGAGTAGTATTCCGTCTATCTATCTATCTATCTATCTATCTATCTATCTATCTATCTATCATCTACCAGAGTTTCTTTATCTACTCATTAATTAATGGGTATTTGGGTTGGTTCCACCACTTTGCTATTGTGAATTGTGCTGCTATAAACATGCATGTGCAAGTATCTTTTTTTTTTGAATAATGACTTCTTTTCCTCTGGGTAGACACCCAGTAGTGGGATTGCTGGATCAAAGGGTGGTTCTACTTTTAGTTCTTTAAGGAATCTCCACGCTGTTTTCCATAGCAGCTGTACTAGTTTACACTCCCACCAGCAGTGTAGAAATGTTACCTGATCACCACATCCATGCCAACATTCACTTTTTTTTTTATTCTTTGGCTATGGCCATTCTTATAGTAGTAAGGTGTTATCACATTGTGGTTTTGATTTGCCTCTCCCTGATCATTAGTGGGATGTTGAACATTGTTTCATATGCTTGTCGGCCATTTGTAAATCTTCTTTAGAGAATTGTCTATTCATGTCTTTAGCTCACTTTTTGATGGTATTGATTTTTTTTTTCTTACTGATTTGTTTGAGTTCATCATAGGTTCTGGATATTAGTCCTTTGCCAGATGTATAGATTGTGAAGATTTTCTCCCACTCTATGGGTTGTCTGTTTACTCTGCTGACTGTTCCTTTTGCCATGCAAAAGCTCTTGAGTTTAATTAGGTCTCAGTTATTTATCTTTGTTTTTATTGCAATTGCTTTTGGGTTTTTGGTCATGAAATCCTTGCCTAAGCTGACGTCTAGAAGTGCCTTTCCAGTGTTATCTTCTAGAATTTTTATAGCTTCAGGTCTTAGGTTTAAGCCCTTAATCCATCTTGAGTTGATTTTTGTATAAGATGACAGATGAGGAGGATCAAGTTTCATTCTCCTACATGCATCACTCACTCTTTTTTAAACAAATTTTATTTATTTTTTATTACACTTTAACTTCTGGGATACATGCACGTGCAGAATGTGCAGTTTTGTTACATAGGTATACATGTGCCATGGTGGTTTGCTGCACCCATCAACGCATCATATACATTAGGTATTTCTCCTCATGCTATCCCTCCCCTTGGCCCCGACCAACCAACAGGCCCCGGTGTGTGATGTTCCCCTTCCTGTGTCCATATGTTCTCATTGTTCAACTCCCACTTTTGAGTGAGAGCATGGGGTGTTTGGTTTTCTGTTTCTGTGTTAGTTTGCTGAGAATAATAGTTTCCAGCTTCATCCATGTCCCTGCAAAGGACATGAACTCATCCTTCTTTATGACTGCATACTATTCCATGGTATATATGTGCCACATTTTCTTTATTCAGTCTATCTTTGATGGACATTTGGGTTGATTCCAAGTCTTCGCTATTGTGAATAGTGCCGCAATAAATATATGTGTGCATGTGTCTTTATAGTAGAATGATTTATAATCCTCTGGGTATATACACAGTAATGAGATTGCTGGGTCAAATGGTATTTCTGGTTCTAGATCCTTGAGGAATCACCATACTGTCTTCCACAATGGTTAAACTAATTTACACTCCCACCAACACTGTAAAAGTGTTCCTACTTCTCCACACCCTCTCCAGCATCTGTTGTTTTCTGAGTTTTTAATGATCACCATTCTAACTGGCATGAGATGGTATCTCATTGTGGCTTTGATATGCATTTTTCTAATGACCAGTGATGATGAGCTTTTTTTCATATGTTTCTTGGCCACATAAATGTCTTCTTTTGAGAAGTGTCTATTCATATCCTTTGCCCACTTTTTGTTCGGGTTGTTTGTATTTTTCTTGTAAATTTGTTTATGTTCCTTGTAGATTCTGGATATTAGCCCTTTGTCAGATGGATAGATTGCAAAAATTTTCTCCCATTCTGTAGGTTGCCTGTTCACTCTGATTATAGTCTCTTTTGCTTTGCAGAAGCTCTTTAGTTTAATTAGATCCCATTTGTCACTTTTGGCTTTTGTTGCCATTGCTTTTGCTATTTTAGTCATGAAGTGTATTAACATGCCTATGTTCTGAATGGTATTGCCTAGGTTTTCTTCAGGGTTTTTACAGTTTTAGGTCTTAAATTTAAGTCTTTAATCCACCTTGAGTTAATTTTTGTATAAGGTGTAAGAAGGGCTCCATTTTAAGTTTTCTGCATATGGCTAGCCAGTTTTCCCAATAGCATTTATTAAAAAGGGAATTCTTTTACCATTGCTTGTTTTTGTCAGATTTGTCAAAGATCAGATGGTTGTAGATGTGTGGTGTTAATTCTGAGGTCTCTGTTCTGTTCCATTGGTCTATATATCTGTTTTGGTACCAGCACCCTGCTGTTTTGGTTACGGTAGGCTTGTAGTATAGTTTGAATTCAGGTAGTGTGATGCTTCCAGCTTTGTTCTTTCTGCTTAGGATTGTCTTGGCTATATGGGCCCTTTTTTGGTTCCATACGAAATTTAAAGTAGTTTTTTTTTTTCTAATTCTGTGAAGAAAGTCAACAATAGCTTGATGAGAATAGCACTGAACCTATAAAATACTTTGGGCAGTATGGCCATTTTCACAATATTGACTCTTCCTATCCATGAGCATGGAATGATTTTCTATTTGTGTCCTTTCTTATTTCCTTGAGCAGTGATTTGTATTTCTCCTTGAGGAGGTCCTTCACATACTTTGCAAGCTGTATTCCTAAGTATTTGATTCTCTTTGTAGCAATTGTGAATGGGAGTTCACTCATGATTTGGTTCTCTGTCTATTATTGGTGTGTAAAAATGCCTGTAATTTATCCTGAGACTTTGCTGAATTTGCTTATTAGGTTAAGGAGTTTTGGGGTGAGATGATGGGGTTTTCTAAATATACAATCATGGCATCTGCAAACAGAGACAATTTGACTTTCCCTTTTCCTATTTGAATACCCTTTATTTCTTTCTCTTGCCTGATTGCCCTGGTCAAAACTTCCAATGCTATGTTGAATAGGAGTGGTAAGAGAGGACATCCTTGTCTTGTGCCGGTTTTCAAAGGGAATGCGTCTAGCTTTTGCCCATCCAGGATGATATTAGCTGTGGGGTTGTCATAAATAGCTCTCATTATTTTGAGATATGTTCCATCAGTACCTACTTCATTGAGTGTTTTTAGCATGAAGGGGTGTTGAATTTTATCAAAGGCCTTTTCTGCATCTATTGAGATAATCATGTGGTTATTGTCATTGGTTTCATTTATGTAATGAATTATATTTATTGATTTGCATATGTTGAACCAGCCTTGCATCCCAGAATGAAGCCAACTTGATCGTGGTGCATAAGCTTTTTGATGTGCTGCTGGATTCGGTTTGCCAGTATTTTATTGAGGATTTTCATATCGATGTTCATCATGGATGTTGGCCTGAAATTTTCTTTTTTCTTTTTGTTGTGTCTCTGCCAGGTTTTGGTATCAGTATGATGATGGTCTCATAAAATGAGTTAGGGAGGATTCCCTCTTTTTCTATTGTTTGGAATAGTTTCAGAAGGAATCGTACCAGCTCCTCTTTGTACCTGTGGTAGAATTCAGCTGCGAATCTGTCTGGTAATGGGCTTTTTTTGGTTGGTAGCCTATTAATTACTGCCTCAATTTCAGAACTTGCTATTGGTCTAATCAGGGATTAGACTTCTTTCTGGTTTAGTCTTGGGAGGGTGTATGTGTTCAGGAATTTATCCATTTCTTCTAGATTTTCTATTTTATTTGTGTAGAGGTATTTATAGTATTCTCCGATGTCAGTTTGTATTTCTGTGGGATCTATGGTGATATCCCCTTTACCATTTTTTATTGTGTCTATTTGATTCTCCTCTCTTTTCTTCTTTATTAGTCTGGCTAGCAGTATATCTATTTTGTTAATCTTTTCAAAACACCAGCTCCTGGATTCATTTTTTTAATGGTTTTTCATGTCTCTATCTCCTTCAATTCTGCTCTAATATTAGTTATTTCTTGTCTTCTGCTAGCTTTTGAATCTGTTTGCTTTTTGTTTTCTAGTTCTTTTAACTGTGATTTTAGGGTGTTGATTTTAGATCTTTCTAGCTTTCTGATGTGGGCATTTAGTGCTATAAATTCCTACTAAGCCCTGCTTTAGCTGTGTCCCAGAGATTCTGGTATGTTGTGTCTTTGTTCTCATTGGTTTCAAAGAACTTATTTATTTTGACTTCATTTCATTATATACCCAGTACTCTTTCAGGAGCAGGTTGTTCAGTTTCCATGTAGTTGTACGATGTTGAGTGAATTTCTTAATCCTGAGTTCTAATTTGATTGCATTGTGGTCTAAGAGATTGTTTGTTATGACTTCCATTCTTTTGCATTTGCTGAGGAGTGTTTTACCTCAAATTATTTGATCAATTTTAGAATAAGTGCATATGGTGCTAAGAAGAATGTATATTCTGTTGATTTGGGGTGGAGAGTTCTGTAGTTGTCTATTAGGTATGCTTGGTCCAAAGCTGAGTTCAAGTTCTGAATATCTTTGTCTATTTTCTGTCTTGTTGATCTGTCTAATATTGACAGTGGGATGTTTAAGTCTCCCACTATTATTGTGTGGGAGTCTAAGTCTCTTTTTCGGTCTCTAAGAACTTGCTTTATGAATCTCGGTGCTCCTGTATTGGGTCCATATATATATTTAGGATTGTTAGCTGTTCTCGTTGCATTGATCCCTTTACCATTATGTAATGCCCTTCTTTGTCTTTTTTGATCTTTGTTGGTTTAAAGTCTGTTTACTCAGAGACTAGGATTGCAACCCCTGCTTTTTTTTTTTCTTTCCATTTACTTGGTAGATATTCCTTCATCCCTTTATTTTGAGCCTAGGTGTGTCTCTGTACGTGAGGTGGGTCTCCTGAATACAGCACACGAAGCCTCTTGACTCTTGGTCCAATTTGCCAGTCTGTGTCTTTTAATTGAAGCATTTAGCCCATTTACATTTAAAATTAATATTGTTATGTTTGAATTTGATCCTGTCATTATGATGCTACCTAGTTATTTTGCACATTAGTTGGTGCAGTTTCTTCATAGGGTTGATGGTCTTTACATTTTGGTATGTTTTTGCAGTGGCTGCTATTGGTTTTTCCTTTCCATATTTAGTGCTTTCTTCAGGAGCTCTTGTAAGCCAGGCCTGGTGGTGACAAAATCCCTCAGCATCTTCTTGTCTGTAAAGGACTTTATTTATGCTTCGTTTATGAAGCTTAGTTTGGCTGGATATGAAATTCTGGGTTGAAAATTCTTTTCTTTAAGAATGTTGAATACTGGTCCCCACTCTTTTCTGGCTTGTAGGGTTTCTGCAAAGAGATTCACTGTTAGTCTAATGGGCTTCCCTTTCTGGGTAATCTGGGCTTTCTCTCTGGCTGCCCTTAACATTTTTTCCTTCATTTCAACCTTGGTGAATCTGATGATTATGTGTCTTAAGGTTGCTCTTCTCAAGGAGTATCTTTGTGGTGTTCTCTGAATTTCCTGCATTTGAAGGTTGGCCTGTCTTGCTAGGTTGGGGAAGTTCTCCTGGATAATACGCTGAAGTGTGTTTTCCAACTTGGTTCCATTCTCCTTGTAACTTTCAGATACACTAATCAAATGTGGGTTTGGTCTTTTCACATAGTCCCATATTTCTTGGAGGCTTTTTTCATTCCTTTTCATTCTTTTTCTTCTAATCTTGTCTTCACGCTTTGTTTCATTAAGTCTCTGATATCCTTTCTTCTGCTTGATCAATTCGACTATTGATACTTGTGTAGGCTTCACGAAGTTCTCATGCTGTGTTTTTCAGCTCCATCAGGTCATTTATGTTCTTTGCTAAACTGGTTATTCTAGTTAGCAGTTCCAATAAAAGTTCTTAGCTTCCTTGCATTGGGTTAGAACATGCTGTTTAGCTTGGGAGAGTTTGTTAGTACCCACCTTCTGAAGCCTACTTCTTTCAATTCGTCTAACTCATTCTCCATCCAGTTTTGTTCCTTCGCTGGCCAGGAGTTCTGATCCTTTGGAGGAGAAGACACATTCTGGTTTTTGGAATTTTCAGGCTTTTTGTGCTAGTTTTTCCCTATCTTCATGGATTTATCTACCTTTGGTCTTGGATGTTGATGACCTTTGCATGGGGTTTTTGCATGGGCATCCTTTGTGTTGATGTTGATGCTATTGCTTTCTGTTTGTTAGTTTTCCTTCTAACAGTCAGGCCCTTCTTCTGCAGGTCTGCTGGAGTTTGCTGGAGGTCCACTCCTGACCCTGTTTGCCAGAGTATCACCAGCAGATGCTACAGAAGAGCAAAGATTGCTGCCTGCTCCTTCCTCTGGAAGCTTCATCCCAGAGGGGTACCTGCCAGATGCCAGCCAGAGCTCTCCTGTATGGGGTGTCTGTCAATCCCTGCTGTGAGATGTTTCCCAGTCAGGAGGCATGGGGGTCAGGGACCCACTTGAGGAGGTAGTCTTTCCCTTAGCAGAGCTCGAGCCCTGTGCTGGGAGATTGGCTACTCTCTTCAGAGCCTCCAGGCAGTAACATTTAAGTCTGCTGAAGCTGCGCTCACAACCGCCCCCTTCCCTCAGGTGCTCTGTCCCAGGGAGATGGGAGTTTTATCTATAAGCCCCTGACTGAGGCTGCTGCCTTTCTTTCAGAGATGCCCTGCCCAGAGAGGAGAATCTAGAGAGGCAGCCTGGCTACAGTGCTTTGCCGCCAGTGGATCTTAGCTTGCTGGGCTCCATAGGGGTGCGAGCTGCTGAGCAAGACCACTTGGTTCCCTGGTTTCAGCCCCCTTTCCAGGGGAGTGAATGGTTCTGTCACATTGGCATTCCAGGCACCAATGGAGTACAAGGAAAAAAATCCTGCAGCTAGCTCAGTGTCTACCCAAACGGTCGCCCAGTTTTGTGCTTGAAACCCGGGGCCCTGGTTGTGGAGGCATCCGAGGGAATCTCCTGATCTGCGGGTTGTGAAGACCATGGAAAAAGCTTAGTATCTGGGTCTGGATAGCACCGTCCCTTATGGCTTCCCCTGGCTAAGGGAAGGAGTTCCCCAACCCCTTGCACTTCCTGGGTGAGGCGACACCCCAGCCTGCTTTGGCTCACCCTCCGTGGGCTACACCCACTGTCTAACCAATGCCAATATGATGAACCAGGTATCTCAGTCAGTAATGCAGAAATTACACTTCTTCTGCATTGGTCTTACCGGGAGCTGCAGACCACAGCTGTTATTTGGCCATCATGCCAGCCCCTCTCCCGACAGTACTTGGTTTTCACTTTATATTGCCGAAAGAGGCATTGAAGAGAATTGGAGAAACAATCTTGAATTGCTGACACCACCCCTCCTCCCTTCCCAGCAGCAGCTACATGGTGTGGAGACAGAATCTGGGCACTTGGGGAGGGAGAGTACAGTGACTGGGGGATTTTACATTGAACTCGGTGCTTCCCTGTGACAACAGAGAGCAAAGGCATGCTGGGCTCAGCCTGCACCCACAGAGAGGGAACATTTGGACTAGCCCTAGAATCACCCATCCCAGTGGTTGGAACATGAGTTTCTTGGCAAGCCCCCTCACAGAAGGCCAAAGTTCTCTAGGGTCCTAGGTACACATGAAAGGCAGTCTAGGACACAGGGACAGCAATTCCTAGGCAAGTCCTAGTAGTATTGGACTGGGCTCAGAGCCACTGGACCAAGGTAGCACATGACTACTGAGATACCAGCTAGGCAGCTATGGGAGTGCTTGTGCCATTCCTTGCCCAACCTCAGGTAGTGCAGCTCACAGCAACAACAGTGACTCCTCCCTTCTGCTTAAGGAGAGGAGAGTGAAGAGTGAAGAGGACTTTGTTGTACAGCTTGAATGCCAGCTCAGCCACAGTAGGATAGGGCACCAGGCAGAACCATGAGGCCTCCCTTGCAGGCCCTAGCTCTCAGATGACATTTCTAGACACACCCTGGGCCAAAAGGGAATCCACTGCCTTGAAGAAAAGGACCCAGTCCAGGCCACATTCATCATCTTCTGGCTAAAGAACTCTTTGGTCCTAAATAGCCAGCAACAATACCCAGGTAATACACCATGGGCATTGGACTCTGAGACATCCTGACTTCAGGTGTGATCTAGCACAGTCTCAGCTATTGTGACTATGGTGAAAGACTCCAGTTTGAGAACAGCAGAGGAAAGAGTAAAGCAGACTTTCTGTTGTACTAAGGTACCAGCTCAGCCACATTGGGGTAGAGAAACAAGCAGGCCCTTGGGGATTCTTAGTCCAGGCCTAAGCTCTTGGACAGCATTTCTGGACCTGCCCTGGGCCAGAGAGAGCCCACTGTCCTATAGGGAGAGTCCCAGACCTAGCAGCATTCACAAGCTGACTGAAGACCCTTGGGCTTTAAGTGAACATTGGTGGTGGCCTGGCAGAACCCTCCATGGGTTGTTGGTGATGATGGCCACAGGGAGGTTCCTCTGCCTGTGGAAAGGGGAGGGAAGGGCAGGGAGGACTTTGTATTACAGTCTGAGTGCCAGCTTAGCCACAGTGGAATAGAATATCAGCTAAATTTATTAGTTTTTTTCTTTAATCCCTGGCTCCCAGACAGCATGTTTAGATCCAGCCAGGGCCTAGAGGAACTTGCCACCCTGAAAAGAAAGAAACAAACCTGACTGGTTTTGTCACCTACTGATCATAGAGCCTTAGGGCCTTGAGTGAACATAGGTGGTAGCCAGGTAGTTGTTACAGTGGGCTTTGGGTGAGACCCAGTGCTGTACTGGCTTCAGGTCTGACCCAGGGCAATCCCAATGGTGGTGGCCACAGAGTTGCTTGCATCATCATACCCGCAGTTCAGGCACCTCTGCACAGACAAAGAGAGAGAGTGAGAGACTTCATTGTTTGGAAGAAAGTGAGGTAAAAAACAAGCGTTTCTGCGTGGTAACCCAGAGAATTCTTCCAGATCTTATCCAAGACAACCAAGGGTATCTGCAAAGACCACAGCATTATTGGGCTTGAGGCCTAGGTCCTTTTGAATCCCTGGAAAGGCTTCCCAAGAAGGACAGACACAAGCAAGTCCAGACTGTGAAAACTACAATAAATACGTAACTCTTTAATGCCCAGACAGCAACGAACATTTACAAGCATCAAGATCATCCAGAAAAACATGACTTAACCAAATGAACTAATAAGGCACCAGGAATCAATCCTGGAGAAATAGAGATATGTGACCTTTCAGAGAATTCAAAATAGCTGTTTTGGAGGAAACTCAAAGAAATTCAAGATAACACAGAGAAAGTATTCAGAAAAAACAAAAAAAAAATCATAAAATTTATTCGGAATCACGACAGATCCAGAATAGACAAAGCCATCCTGAACAAAAATAACAAACCTGGAGGAACCACATTACCTGACTTCAAATTATACAAAAATTAGACAGGCATAGTGGCACATGCCTGTAATCCCAGCTACTCAGGAGGCTGAGGCATGAGAATCACTTGGGCCCAGGAGGCAGAGTGAGCTGAGATTGTGCCATTGCACTCCAGCCTGGGTAAGAGAGTGAGACTCTATCTCAAACAAACAAAAAAAACCAAAACCTACAGTGAGATACCATCTCACCTCAGTTAAAATGGCTTTTATCTTAAAAAAAAAAAAAAAAAACCCACAAACAAACAACAACAACAACAACAGGCAATCAGGCAATTCCAAATGTTGGAGAGGATGTGGAGGAAAGGGTACCTTCATGCACTGTTGGTGGAAATTTAAATTAGTCCAACCATTATGGAAGACAATTTGGAGATTCCTGAAAAAACTAAGAAATAGAGCTGCCATACAATCCAGCAACCTCTGCTGGATATACACCCAAAATAAAAGACATCAGTATGTTAAAGAGACATCTGCACACCCATGTTTGTTACAGTTCTGTTCACAATAGTCAAAATTTGCAAGCAACCTAAGCATCCACCAACAGACGAATAAATAAAACGTGGTACTTATTCAAAATGAGTATTATTCAGCCATAAAAAGTATGAGATCCTGTCATTTGCAACAATATGGATGGAACTGGAGGTCATTATGTTAAGAGAAATAAGCCAGGCACAGATAAACAAGCATTACATGTTCTCACTTATTTGTGAGATCTAAAAATCAAAACAATTGAACTCATGGAGACAGGAAATAGAAAGATGGTTACCAGAGGATGGTTAAGGTAGTGAGGTAATGATGGGGGAGGAGGAGATGGTACAAAAAAAATAGAAACACTGAATGTGGCTTAGTATTTGATAGCGCAACAGGGTGACAATAGTCAATAATTTAATTATACATAAAAAAACTAAAAAAGTATAATTCAACTGTTTGTGACACAAAGTATAAATGCTTGAGGGGATAGATACCCCATTTTCCATGATGTGGTTATTGCTCATTGCATGCCTATATCAAAATATCCTATGTAATTCATAAATATATATACCTACTATGTACTCAAAAATTTTTTTAATTTGAATTTTAAAAAAGAATAAACCCATCATTAAAAAGGAAATGTCTGCTTGAAGTAAATTACAAAGTTTTAATGGTGATTGTAAACAATCTTATTTGTCATTTTTCATCTGTTCTAAAATTCTTTTTTCCACATTTTGATAATTCTTATTAAAATTTTCCACATTTTAATAATTTGTATTAAAATCTGATATATTTTACAATCGGTGGTGACTGGTGGTTTAGATTCAGTGAAATACCGTAAATGAAATTATACAACATAATTATTTCTGAGAATACTGGGTAAATGTCAATTCTCCTAAAATTAATGTATAAGCTAATTGTTAAATATTAAGCCCTCAATAACGTGTTTTTATTCCCCTTAAGTAAAACTTGACAAGATTATTCTATATTTTACTGAGTAGAATATATTAAATAATAAAAGCAAAAGATGTTCAGAACAAAATAATTGTGTGAGTGTATCTCTACTCAATATAAATAAATACCATAAAACTATTAGGAATTAAATGTTTGTGGTATTAGATCACAATTTAAAATCTAACTCATTTCCATGTTTCCCTACCTCAGTAAGTAGCATTCCACCCACTCTGTTTCTCAGGCCAGAATTCTTGTGGTTATTCTAAACTACTCTCATTCTTTCATATATTGCATCAAATCCAGCAGCAAATCTTATTGTCTCTGCTTCTAAGATATATTTTGAGCCTGATGGCCACTCATCTAATGCTAGACCACTAACATCTCTTGCCTGGACAACTTCAGTAGCCTAATAACTGTTTTGCTATTTGTATGGAATGCTTCTGCTAAACTACCATCAGTAGACTTGTGGAATGCCTTATGCCACATGACATTGCTTCTGATCAAGGAATTCACTTCACAGAAAAGGGAGTGTGGCATGCTCATGGAATTCACTGGTTGTACCATGTTCCTGACCATGCTAAAGCAGCTGGCTTGATCGAACAGGGGAATGGCCATTTGAAGACTCAGTTACATAGCCAGCTAGGTGGCAATACATTGCAGGTCTGAGGCAAGGTTCTCCAGAAGGCTGTATATATGCTCCAAGTCAGCATCCAGTATATGATGTTATTTCTCTAATAGCCAGGAATCAAAGATCTAAGGATCAAGGGATGGAAATGGGAGTGGCACCACTCACTATTACCTCTATTGACACACTAGTAAAAATTTTGCTTCCTTTTACTATAATGGTTGCTGGCCTGGAGGGCTTAGTTCCAAAAGAACTACATTTCCACCAGCAGACACAACGATTCCCTTGAACTAGAAGTTAAGACTGCCACCTGGCTATTGTGTCACCCTTCCTCACCATTCCCCTAAATCAACAGCCAAAGAACGGAGTTGTGGTGTTGACTATGGTGACTGATCCTAACAAAAGTAAGTTGGACTATTACTCCAAAAAGGAAGGTAAGAGAAAGTATGTCTGAAATCCAAGAGATACCTTAGGCTATCTCTGAGTATTACTATTCCCTGTGATTGAGGTCAATGGAAAATTTCAACAGCCCAATGTAGGCATGACTATTAATGGCTCAGACCCTTCATGAATGAAAGTTTGGGTTATCTTGCCAGGTATAGAACCATGATCTGCTGAGCTCCTTGCTGAAGAAGGGAATAGAGAATAGGTAGAAAAAGAAGGTAGTTATAAATACCAGCTATGACCACGTGATCAGTTACAGAAATAATTGTCATGAGTGTTTCCTCCTTATTTTGTTGTGAATACATTTGTGTCTATATGCATATATTAAGCAAGTATCTTTTCTCTTTCTCCCTTATTCCCTTATCATGTAACATAAGATATACTGACTTTGTATCATAGTGTTTATATATTATTAATTTAACATTATGGTATTTAAGTTATGGAATATCAAGAGAAAAGTAAACATCATTTAAGGACTTTATCTCCTCTTGTGGTGAAGGAATCAGTGCATTTTCAGTTGTAAACAAAATAGTTGTATTATGTTAGGCAGAATTATGGCCTTGTTATTGTCTTTATTTGGAGATTAAGTATGGTACAAAGAGATTTATATGGGTGGCAAGGTGACAAGGGATAAGCTTATGATGATTAATTTTATGTCAACTTAAGTGGGTGAAAGGAAGTCAGACAGCTGGTAAAACATTATTTCTGGGGCTTTCTGTGAGAGTATTTTCAGAAAAAAGAAAAAGTAGTGTTTGGATTGGTAGACTGAGTAAAGAAAATCACCCTTACCAATGTGAGTGGCCACATCATCCAATTCTTCGAGGGCTCAAATAGAATAGAAAGGTGGAGGAAAGTCAAATGTGTTCTCTCTGCTTAAGTTTGGACATTTGTTTTCTCTTGCCCTGGGACATCGGTGCTTCTTGTTCTAAGGCTTTCAGGTTTGGACTGGGGCTACACCACCAACTTTTCTGGTTCTTCCACTTGCAGATGGAAGATCATTAGGCTTCTCAGTCTTCATAGTCACATGAGCCAATCCCTCAGAACAAATTTATTTCTACATACCTGTGTCTATCTCATTGGCTCTGTTTCCCCAGAAAACCCTAAGACATTATTCCTTTCTTGCTCCCCTATCTTGAGCCACCTTCTGCAAAGTCTGTTTTCCACAAAACAACCTGATATAATATTTTCAAATGCAAGTCTGATCATTTCATTATTTTCTCAAAGTTTGCAGTGGCTTCCCGTCACACTTAGAATAAGTCCCCAATGTGCCCATGATGCCCTGCTGTATCAGCTGCCTGAATAACCAAATCCAGATACTGCTCACTCTCTCATTTGCTGCAACCATTCTACCCTCCTTGTTATGTGCATATTTTCAGGACTCTAGGCCTTTGCATTTTTTATTTTCTCTCTCTGAAACGCCATTACCAAAATGTGTATGGCTCCTTTCTTCTTTTATTTATGTTTCAGATCAAATGTCATTTATGCATATAGGGTTTTGTAACCAACTAATAGAAAATAACGATTTTCTCTACTCATCCTTGCCACTTAACTGACTCAAACTCTTTCCTCACAGTTTATATCATGGTGACATTATATCTATACATATATTATCAGTTATTAAATAAATTATTTATTTCTTATTTACTAGAGAGAAGGAATTCCAGAAGAGGAGGAAATAGTAGTGTATTTTTAAAAATTTAGTTTGGCAAAGATAATTTTGAGGAATATCCAAAACCCAAACCTATAAATAAAGGAAAGACAGGTCTGGCTGTAGATAAGCTTTAAATTAAGTCTTAAAACCAGGTGTGGTGGGTCATGCCTGTAACCCCAGCACTTTGGGAAGTTGAAGTGGGAAGATCGCTTGAGCCCAGGAGTTTAAGACCAGCCTGGGCCACATAGGGAGACCCTGTCTCTACAAAAAAAAAAAACTGTTTTTTAAAACTAGCTGGGCATGGTGGTGCACACCTGTAGTCCCAACTACTCAGGAGCCTAAGGTGTGAGGACTGCTTGAGCCCAAGAAGTTGAGCTGCAGTGATTGTTGTGAATGCACTACTACACTCCAACCAGGGCAACATAGCAAGATTCTATCTCAAAGTAAAAAACAAAAAAATGAAATTATTTTAAAAGCACCAGATACGAAGTTAAGCGACAAACTGGAAAATATATTTGTGAACTATATAATATGAAAGGTTAAAATTTTGAGTATATTTAAGTTTCTAAAAAGAATATAAAATAGCACAAGAACCCATCAAGAAAATGCCAAGGAAAATGTCTATACGTTTCAGAAAAATGCAGCTGAGATATGATTGTCAAGCCTTCTAATAATCCAGAACATGCAAATTAAAATGAGATACAATATGCATTGAAAGAGATTGATCAAAATTAGATTATTAATATCCAGTGTTGAGGAGATTTTGACAAAATAGATAGTCACGTCCTATCGAGGAAGCTGTAGAAGTCCAGCTGCTTTTGAGATTAAATTCTTCAAATTAAAAATGATACTCTTACTCAGAAACTCTTGTTTCTACCAAAATCAGAGCAGAACTGAAGGAAATAGAGACACAAAAAACCCTTCAAAAAATTAGTGAATCCAGGAGCTGGTTTTTTGAAAAGATCAACAGCCTTGATAGACCGCTACCAAGACTAATAAAGAAGAAAAGAGAAGAAACAAACAGACGCAATAAAAAATGATAAAGGGGATATCACCACCGATCCCACAGAAATACAAACTACCATCAGAAAATACCATAAACACCTCTACGCAAATAAACTAGAAAATCTAGAAGAAATGAGTAAATTCCTGGACACATACACCCTCCCAAGACTAAACCAGGAAGAAGTTGAATCTCTGAATAGACCAATAACAGGCTCTGAAATTGTGGCAATAATCAATAGCTTACCAACCAAAAAGAGTCCAGGACCAGATGGATTCACAGCCAAATTCTACCAGAGGTACAAGGAGGAGCTGGTACCATTCCTTCTGAAACTATTCCAATCAATAGAAAAAGAGGGAATCCTCCCTAACTCATTTTATGAGGCCAGCATCAGCCTGATACCAAAGCCTGGAAGAGACACAACCAAAAAAAGAGAATTTTAGACCAATATCCTTGATGAACATTGATGCAAAAATCCTCAATAAAATACTGGCAAACCGAATCCAGCAGCACATCAAAAAGCTTATCCACCATGATCAAGTGGGCTTCATCCCTGGGATGCAAGGCTCATTCAACATATGCAAATCAATAAATGCAATCCAGCATATAAACAGAACCAAAGACAAAAACCACATGATTATCTCAATAGATGCAGAAAAGGCCTTTGACAAAATTCAACAACGCTTCATGCTAAAAACTCTCAATAAATTAGGTATTGATGGGACGTATCTCAAAATAATAAAAGCTATCTATGACAAACCCACAGCCAGTATCATACTGAATGGGCAAAAACTGGAAGCATTCCCTTTGAAAACTGGCACAAGACAGGGATGCCCTCTCTCACCACTCCTCTTCAACATAGTGTTGGAAGTTCTGGCCAGGGCAATTAGGCAAGAGAAGGAAATAAAGGGTATTCAATTAGGAAAAGAGGAAGTCAAATTGTCCCTGTTTGCAGATGACATGATTGTATATCTAGAAAACCCCATTGTCTCAGCCCAATATCTCCTTAAGCTGATAAGCAACTTCAGTAAAGTCTCAGGATACAAAATCAATGTACAAAAATCACAAGCATTCTTATACACCAAAAACAGACAAGCAGAGAGCCAAATCATGAGTGAACTCCCATTCACAATTGCTTCAAAGAGAATAAAATACCTAGGAATCCAACTTACAAGGGACGTGAAGGACCTCTTCAAGGAGAACTACAAACCACTGTTCAATGAAATGAAAGAGGATACAAACAAATGGAAGAATGTTCCATGCTCATGGGCAGGAAGAATCAATATCGTGAAAATGGCCATACTGCACAAGGTAATTTATAGATTCAATGCCATCCCCATCAAGCTACCAATGACTTTCTTCACAGAATTGGAAAAAACTACTTTAAAGTTCATACGGAACCAAAAAAGAGCCCGCATTGCCAAGTCAATCCTAAGCCAAAGGAACAAAGCCGGAGGCATCACGCTACCTGACTTCAAACTATACTACAAGGCTAAAGTAACCAAAACAGCATGGTACTGGTACCAAAACAGAGATATAGACCAATGGAACAGAACAGAGCCCTCAGAAATAACGCCGCATATCTACAACTATCTGATCTTTGACAAACCTGAGAAAAACAAGCAATGGGGAAAGGATTCCCTATTTAATAAATGGTGCTGGGAAAACTGGCTAGCCATATGTAGAAAGCTGAAACTGGATCCCTTCCTTACACCTTATACAAAAATTAATTCAAGATGCATTAAAGACTTAAATGTTAGACCTAAAACCATAAAAACCCTAGAAGAAAACCTAGGCAATACCATTCAGGACATAGGCATGGGCAAGGACTTCATGTCTAAAACACCAAAAGCAATGGCAACAAAAGTCAAAATTGACAAATGGGATCTAATTAAACTAAAGAGCTTCTGCACAGCAAAAGAAACTACCATCAGAGTGAACGGGCAACCTACAAAATGGGAGAAAATTTTCGCAACCTACTCACCTGACAAAGGGCTAATATCCAGAATCTACAATGAACTCAAACAAATTTACAAGAATAAAACAACCCCATCAAAAAGTGGGTGAAGGATATGAACAGACACTTCTCAAAAGAAGACATTTATGCAGCCAAAAGACACATGAAAAAATGCTCATCATCACTGGCCATCAGAGAAATGCAAATCAAAACCACAATGAGATACCATCTCACACCAGTTAGAATGGCAATCATTAAAAAGTCAGGAAGCAACAGGTGCTGGAGAGGATGTGGAGAAATAGGAACACTTTTACACTGTTGGTGGGACTGTAAACTAGTTCAACCATTGTGGAAGTCAGTGTGGCGATTCCTCAGGGATCTAGAACTAGAAATACCATTTGACCCAGCCATCCCATTACTGGGTATATACCCAAAGGACTATAAATCATGCTGCTATAAAGACACATGCACACGTATGTTTATTGCGACACTATTCACAATAGCAAAGACTTGGAACCAACCCAAATGTCCAACAACGACAGACTGGATTAAAAAAATGTGGCACATATACACCATGGAATACTATGCAGCCATAAAAAATGATGAGTTCATGTCCTTTGTAGGGACATGGATGAAACTGGAAATCATTCTCAGCAAACTATCACAAGGGCAAAAAGCCAAACACCGCATGTTCTCACTCATAGGTGGGAATTGAACAACGAGAACACATGGACACAGGAAGGGGAACATCACACTCTGGGGACTGTTGTGGGGTGGGGGTAGTGGGGAGGGATAGCATTAGGAGATATACCTAATGCTAAATGACGAGTTAATGGGTGCAGTACACCAACATGGCACTTGTATACATATGTAACTAACCTGCACATTGTGCACATGTACCCTAAAACTTAAAGTATAATAATAATAAAACAAAACAAACAAAGAAAAGTTCCAAAAAAAAGAAACTCTTTTTTCTATATACCTATCTGAGAAAAATACTGCTACATCTGAAGAAGAATAAATACACAAATATTTATTGTATCATTTTGTAAGACAGAAAACTTAGAAGCAGTTAAATGTTCTGCTATGTTTATTCTATGAAATATGCTGCCATTTATAAGGTAGATCTAAGATAATAATATG
Source organism: Homo sapiens (assembly GCF_000001405.40). Classification (NCBI taxonomy): domain Eukaryota; kingdom Metazoa; phylum Chordata; class Mammalia; order Primates; family Hominidae; genus Homo; species Homo sapiens. The sequence continues at coordinate 51,380,992 of NC_000002.12, read as the reverse complement.
AATAGACCTCCTTATTTCATGTAGTTAATTGAAAAAAGTTACAAAGCATATGTACAGTATAATTCCATTAATCTCAAAATATTTATAAGTGTGTGTGTGTATACACATGTGTGGACAGACAGGAGATAGATATAGATAAACCTATGTATGTGTAAGTAAATAAATATGCATTTATTGGACAGTAGTTGTATCTGGGAGGTTAATGGAATTAATCAAAATTGGCTGAGGAACTTTCACTTTTTACTGTTGCAATTTGTTTTCAAATATTCCTTTAGTACTCACCTATTTTCATGAGAAAAATAAATAAAATAAGTGACTGACAAGATGTCTGCTATTGGCTTCATACAAAGACCTGCTCAATCATCATAACATACCTAACTATAAGATTAATTACATGCCTTTGAGGAGTTACTTTTTAAAAATCTATATTAACTACTATGGAATCTGTCAATATGTAATTTATAACACAAAAATTTTTCATTAATTTTTCTATTTTTTTCTCATTTAAATATAATTTTCTTTTTTCTTAATTCAGTGTTTTATCTAAAGTTTAAAATGCAGATTAAATATGATAGTAAAAGATTATGAGTAATTTTCTTCTGCAAATGAGAATTATATTTAAACTATACATTAGCTCCCACATATTACAAATCCATGATGAGAGGATGAACTAAGGTGATTCAAGAAATATTCAACCCACTTTAATATTAGCAAAGCTTTAATGATACCATTACCTTATCCATTCATATCCTGACACTCAAATGTGTCATAATGCTTTGACAGGTCTCATCTTTGAATGCAAAAATGACTTCAGAGTCCCTTGACATTTTTACATCTAAATTTACATAAACAGTCAGTTTTTACAAAAGGAATAGAAAAGAGACCCAGAGTTTAATCTAAGTGTTCTTCCAAATTTTGCTTGATTTGGTGTGTGAGCTATGAGTCAACTGTCTGATTTTAGAATACCTGGGAAAACTAGATGAAGGCTAATGAACAGCAAAAAGATCTGTATTCACAGCTCCATTTTAAAATAGAAATATAGAAAAACACTTTAAACAGTACTTCTGATTTATAACCTAAAGGTCAATAAAACAAAATCTGCTTTCAATTGTATTTTTCTTATCCTATGGAAATGGCATGATATTCAATCACAGTACTTTATTGCACAAGTGAGTTCTTTTTAGGAATATGACATAAATCTCTAGAAGTTTATATCTCACATAGAGGCAGAAACCAGGTAAATTTCAACCACCTGGCTGTTGCTATTGTTTTCCTTATCTGAATCCATGTTGTCCCCTGGCATGGGCAGTTGCTTTCCTGCTTTCCTTCCAAGTAGGAATGTGGTAGGTTTTTGGTAATCTAAATACCCTGCTTTCTGGGATCCAGCCTACCTGGGTGCACATAGAAATAGTAGACCTTTGATTAATTGCCACTTACCTGGAACATGGGCATATACTATTCCGGATATACACACTAGCTTTCACTACCCATTCAAAAAATACATTTAATTTAACTTCTACTCCAATTCAATTCTGCCCCCTTTATGTCCCCTCTCATTTGGAATATCTAACGCAATCTCTTATTTTTTTTTTTTTTTGCATCTTTCACAAGATAAAGGAAGAGAGCCCACCTATAAGCAACTTTTAATTTTTTTCTACAAAAGCTTCCAAAATAATATAACACCAAAGGAAAAGGGGTAATTAGGGGGTAAAGGGATGAGAATAATTATGATATACCAAACAACATTTTGATTATTCTACAAAAGCAAAATAAAAATAATGATAATTAATATCCAAGTAAATCTCCTGCTGTAATTGCAATTCATCCTCTAATTTTTTCTCAGATATTTTGCACTTGATAAATGAGGTTCATGGTGTTCTGGTAACAAAAAAGTGAGGATCCAAATGTTTCTAGAAATTCTGCTAGGAGAGTTATATATAAATTTTTAAGCTCCAGAAGAGAAGCTTTTACTTTAGCATCATCATTGGTGTCTACCCTCCTTTCTATGGTCCTCCTTTCTCAAATGGCAGTGGAAGAAAGTTTTCCCACCTAAGTCTCCCATAAGTGGGCTCAATTTCAACTGATAAACCATTGCTGTGACTCTGAATTGCTAATGAACAGCAACATAATGGAATGGAGATGAGCAAAAAAGCCAAGGATCATGAAGGAAGAATGGAAAGAACATAAAGAAAGGTGATAAATAGTAAAAAAGGAAAACAGAAAAAAACTAGAATTGGTTCTAGAATATTTATTGGCTTATTCATCAGGTGATATTTGGAGTAAATCTAAGGCAAATATTAATTTTTATTCTCCCTATTTTCTTCTTCTTATACTTTACTCTTGAGCAAACACTGATTTAGCACTTAGCTGCTTACAAATAACTTATTAAGAATATGAAATGGAATGTATAATATGGTCTTAATTTGGGTAGAGGTTTATTGTTTGTTTTGGCAGTTGAAACCATAGTCAATCTATTGGAGAAGCTAATGCCAAGTTTTTAGAGGAGAAAATAAGACTAAATTAAAAAGTTTTTGCAGTAGTCTACAAATAGGGTGAAACCATCTACTTTTTCTGTTTCTACCATACACATAGAATGCTGAATCCATTACTGATCATCTTAAAAATGTTCTTGAAACTAAACAAAGGCATCAGTCTACTTATAATGGCATAGGTAGACTAATTTTGGTGGCATTAAACTCTAAATACTATGGAGTTTTACTTGTACTCTCCCTTCCTGTATTAGTCCATTCTCACACTGCTAATAAAAACATACATGGGACTGGGTAATTTATTTAAAAAAAGAGGTTTAATTGACTTACAGTTCAGCATGGCTCTGGAGGCCTCAGGAAACTTACAATCATGACAGAAGGGGAAGCAAACATGTACTTCTTCACATGGCTGTAACGAGAAGAAGAATGAGTGTTCAATGAAAGGAGAAGCCCCTTATAAAACCATCAGATCTCATGAGAACTAACTCACTGTCACGAGGACAGATGGGGGAAACTGCCCCTGTGATGCAACTATCTCCACTGGTCCCTCCCATGACACATGGGGATCATGGGAACTGTAAGTCAAGATGAGATTTGGATGGGGACACAGCCAAACCATATCATTCTGCTTCTGGCCCCTCTCAAATCTCATACCATCACAATTCAAAACACAATCATACCCTTCCAACAGTCCAACAAAGTCTTAACTCATTCCAGCATTAATTCAAAAGTCCAAGTCCAAAGTCTCATCTGAGACAAGTCAATTCCCTTTGCCTATGAGCCTGTAAAATCAAAGAAAATTAGTTACCGTACAATGGGGGTACAAGCATTGGGTAAATATGCCCATTGCAAATAGGAGAAATTGGCCAAAACAACGGTGGTACAGGCCCCACACAAGTTCAAAATCCATTAGGGCAGTCATTAAACCTTAAAGTTCCAAAATGACCTCCTTTGAATCCATGTCTCACATCCAGGTCACACTGATGCAAGAGGTGGGCTGCTATGGCCTTGCACAGCTCTGCCCTGTGGCTTTGCAGGATACAGCTCCACTCTTGGCCACTTTCACAAGCTGGCGTTGAGTGTCTGCAGCTTTTCCAGGCACATGGTGCAAGCTTTAAGCAAACCTACCATTCTGGGATCTGGAGGACTGTGACCCGCTACTCACAGCTCCACTAGGCAGTGCCCCAGTGGGGACTCTATATGGGAGCTCAGACCCACATTTTCCTTCCACACTGCCTTAGCGGAGGTTCTCCATGAGGGCTCTGCTCCTGCAGGAGACTTCTGCCCGGACATCCAGGTATTTCCATACATTCTGTGAAATATAGGCAGAGATTCCCAAAACACAATTCTTGACTTCTTTGTACCTACAGGCGCAAGGCCACATGGAAGCTGCCAAGACTTGAGGCTTGCATGCTCTGAAGTGATTGCCAGAGCTACACCTTTGTCTGTTTTAGACATGGCTGAGACACACCAAGCCCAAAGACTGGACAAAGCAGCAAGGCCCTGGCTCCGGCCCACAAAACTATTTTTTCCACCTAGGCCTCTGGGCCTGTGATAGGGACGGGCTGCCGTAAAGGCCTCTGACATGCCCTGGAGACATTTTTCCCATTGTCTTAGTGATTAATATTTGACTCCAAGTTACTAATGCAAATTTCTGCAGCCAGCCTGAATTTCTCCTCAGGAAATGGGTTTTTCTTTTCTATCACATATATCATTAAGCTGCAAATTTTTCAAACTTTATGCTCTGCTTTCCTTTTAAGCAAAAGTTTCATTCACAAACCATATCTTTATGAATACACAAAACCAATGCTTTTAACACCACCCAAGTCACCTCTTGAACACTTTGCTGTTTACAAATTTCTTCCTCCAAATACTGTAAATCATCTCTCAAGTTCAAAGTTTCATAGATCTCTGGGGCTTGGTCAAAATGCTGAGTGAACTTTACTCCAGTTCCCAGGAAGTTTCTCATCTCCATCTGAAACCACCTCAGCCTGGATTTCATTGTCAATATCACTATCAGCATTTTGGTCAAAGCTCTTCAACAAGTCTCTAGGAAGTTCCAGACATTCCCACGTTGTCCTGTCCTTTGAGCCCTACAAGTCTCTAGGAAGTTCTAAACTCTCCCACATTTTTCTGTCTTCTTCTTAGTCCTCCAAATAGTTCCAACCTCTGCCTTTACCCAGATCTAAAGTCACTTCCACATTTTTGGGTGTCTTTACAGCAGCACCCCACTCTCTGTGGTACTGATTTACGATATTAGTCTGTTCTCACACTGCTAGTAAAGACATACCTGGGACTGCGTTATTTATAAAGGAAAAAGCTTTAATTGACTTACTGTTCAGTATGGCTGGGAGGCCTCAGGAAACTTACAATTATGGCAGAAGAGGAAGCAAACACCTCCTTCTTCACATGTGGCAGCAAGAAGAAAATGAGTACCAAGTGAAGGGGGAAGCCCCTTATAAAACCATCAGATCTTGTGAGAAGTAACTCACTCTTATGAGAACAGGATGGGGGAAACCACCCGCATGATTTAATTATCTCCATCTGGTCTCTCCCATCACATGTGGGGATTCAGGGAACTACAATTCAAGTTAAGATCTGGGTGGGGACACAGCCAAACAATATCACTTCCATTTTGTCATAATCTCATAATTAGAAAAGACCAAAAAGGGAGTCCAATCCACTCACAGTCGGTATACCATGTTTCTCTTCTTTTAGCTAGCGTCATTGAACTGTGGAGGAGTGCCTCCATGACAGGGAATCTAAACTTTGCAATGCAGCCACTCTTATATTGCTCATTTCCTAACAGCCAGCAAGAACATCTTTATATATCAACTAAATTAGTTCATATCTGATTTCTACACCTAAGTGTTTGAATTTTTGGAGTTAAATTTTACTATTTCTTCCATATGATGATTCCATAAATGTTTTCACACAGCTATCAAGTCCATCTGTGAATTATCTTCTCTTCGCTATTCATCTTAAGCTCTTTCGGTCAATCCTAACATTACAGGAATTGAATTCCCCTTGTCCTTTCCTTCAGAATACACTGCCTGCTCATAATTTTCTTGTAATACCTGGAAACTTTGGAAATTAAAATGTGGCAATTTATCCTTAAAATACATATAACTGTGTATTTATCCTTAAGATATTCCTAAAGTAATAAATAACATTTATCCTTAAAATACACATATTTAAGTTTTGGATATTAACTGATACCATGTTTGTTATTAATTTTAAAAATCTTAATTTATATAATAAGTATCAAATATTTCTTATATCAATAATTTAAATTTATTAAAATTTTATTTTAATATTTGAAATTTTATTTTACATATCTGAGTAATGTGTAGCTTTCTGACATTTTATTTCACATGTCTCTGGATAATGCGTAGCTTTTTGACATTTCATTAAATGTAATTAAAATAGGCTATTCATATCCTTATTGAGGTACATTTAAGATCACTTCTGTATAAACAATGATGCAAGTTTAAATAACTCGACTGTGTTATATTAACAGAACCATCTGTTCAGTTCATAAAATGTTATGCTTTATAATACAGGTTCTATAATATAGCATATATTAAATCTGAAACAGGAGAGCATAAAAATAGATTTTTATATCTCATAAATATAATAGATTCCTAGATGACTTAATTTACTTAAGATATGCAGAACATTCAATATCTTCTTGATTTTAGAGAAAACTCAGCAGTCTGAACTTATTTTTATTGCCCTGGTTTGGATAAATTGGCTCAGTACTTTTTAAATTGGAAAAATATAGCATGAGTTTTCCCCCTTTTTTTCCTAGCAATTCATCAATTTTTTTTTTTTTTTTTTTTTTTGGTCACCCAGTTTGGAGTGCAATGTGCAGTGATGTGATCATAGGTTACTGCAGCCCGAACTCCTGGGCTCAAGCTGTCCTCCCATCTTCTGAGTAGCAGAGAGCACAGGGAGGTGCCACCATGCCTGGCTTTTTTTTTTTTTTTTTTTTTTTTTTTTTTTGGTAGAGATGGGGTTTCTCTATGTTGCCCAGGCTGCTTTTTTGGTAGAGATGGGGGTCCCTATGTTGCCCAGGCTGCTCTCAAACTTCTGTGCTCAAGCGAACCTCCTGCCTCAGCCTTCCAAATTGCTAGGATTATAGGCATGAGCCACCATGCCCAGCAAAATGCTTCTTTACTTGTCTAAAATGTATTTTATTCTATCAAAATATAAACGTTTATTCCTCACTTACACTACAAATAAGCCTAGTCCATATAGGTAAAAACCAAAGTACTCAGTTCTAGAGATGCTGTCGTGTACTTTAATTATCCAACCTTTTTACATGGGATTGTAATAGAGTAGGAAGCCTGGACGTTCCTCTCTCTCTCTTTTTTTTTTTTTTTTGTTTGTTTTTGTTTTTGTTTTTGTTTTTGTTTTTGAGACAGAGTCTTGCTCTGTCACCCAGGCTGGAGTGCCGTGGCGTGATCTCGGCTCAGTGCAACCTCCGCCTCCCAGGTTCAGGTGATTCACCTGCCTCATCCTCCTGAGTAGCTGGGATTACCGGCACACGCCACCATGCCTGGCTAATTTTCGTATTTGTAGTAGAGACGGGGTTTCACCATGTTGGTCAGGATGGTCTTCAACTTCTGACCTTGTGATCCACCAGCCTCAGCCTCCCAAAGTGCTGGGATTATAAGCGTGAGCCACTGTGCCTGGCCTCGTCTCTTAAATTCAGCACCTGTGCTACTTCAGTGAATGGCACAGATTCACAGTCTGAGAAGAGAATACTTTATGTTTTCAAGGTGCCCTGCTTAACAAATATTATTTTAATAATACCAACAGCGAATGTTTTCAACTTTCCAGAATATAATTTTTCCGCTTGTTGTCATGGTCACCACTTCTTAGCTTTTCCAGTTCTCTGTTTTCCAGATATGACTAGGTTTTATTGTTGCTCACAATGATTATCTGCTATTAACACAACAACTGGAGACACACTGACAACTCTTACTGATAGTTTTAAAAATAGCATTCCCAAAATGTCAATGAAGTTGCATACTGGCCAAGCTTCTTAGCACAATTAAAAAGTATTTCATTTATTTACAGAGTTATTATTTCTTTCCTTAGATCAGGTCATGCACCAGAAAATTTTATCCTTCGGTGACATTGGCAAACATCCTACTTTTAGGAGGCCCTCAGAAAATAATTATTACACACCAGTTCCATCAAAGGCTTACTTAATTTATTATCACAGACATAGCACACACAAGGCAATAATTCAGATTTCAATACAGGTCTAAAAGTATCTAAAATCAATTCACAGAACACTCCTTCCAAATATGAATATGATGTAAACAATACACAAAAATTTCAACTAGATTATAAGTACAGTCTGTGAGGCAGGACCTATCTTAGCATGGGAAATTTTTATTTTAATTAATTCTACTTTTGAGAGGAATTACTTGATGCTGTCTTGGAATAATAAAGATAAGTCCCCAAATCCTGTTTCTAAAACTTATCAGTTTTTTGTTGTTTGATTATTTATGTTAGGGAAGTTAATAACTTTCTTTTTAAACTTTAGAGTTTTTAAATTGTTTTCAGGATATAATGTGTGTCTGTGGGATGTGTGTGTGTGTGTGTGTGTGTGTGTGTGTGTGTGTGTGTGTGTTTCTTCCTGGAATACTGGTCCTATGTGATGTTGACAGTGGCATAAGGGGTGGATAATAAGAGTAACCAGAGTCCCAGAGCAACAAACATTGGTTAGTTTATTGTTGATCACTAGCAGAAAAATACTGCCAACTGTTTACCAATCCACATCCCATCTAAAAGCCCATCAGTAGAGAATGGGGTTAAGTAAACTATGATACAGCAATATTACAGATAATATAGACCATTTAGGTTGGGTGCAGTGGCTCATGCCTGTAATCCCAGCACTTTGGGAGGCTGAAGGGGGTGGATCACAAGGTCAGGAGATCGAGACCAGCATGGCCAACAAGATGAAACCCCGTCTCTATTAAAAATACAAAAATTAGCTGGGCGTGGTGTGGCACACTTGTGGTCCCAGCTACTCGGGAGGCTGAGGCAGCAGAATCACTTGAACCCGGGAGGCAGAGGTTGCAATGAGCCGAGATCGTGTCACTGCACTCCAGCCTAGTGACAAAGTGAGATTCCTTTGCAAAAAAAAAAAAAAAATTATATATATATATACACACACATATATATACCACTTAAAAGGATGATTAAATTTTATGACTGCTTTCATAGGAAAATCTTCCAAGAGTGTTAATGAGTAAAAAGGATTCAGTGTTACACAAGATGCTACATTTACATTAAAATACATGAGAGAATCAGAGAAACACACCCACAAATAGAAATAATTCTAAATATTTTAATAATAAATTTTCATAAGTATTTTTATAAGAAGTATGGAAATACAATATCATCTGGAAAGATAAATACTAGATTTAAAATAGTGATTATCTCTGGGCAGTACACTGATTTTGGACTGTGTAGATGTGGGTGTACATGAACAGAAATATAAACTTAAGCTGTTGTGTCTAGAAACTTAAAAATAAGAATGTACTAATCATGTATAAAACAAAAAAGATATTTCTATCTTTTTAATTATCAAACACCATTCAGTGAAATTACAAGCTGATTTCCACATAGGTGTTCAGTGAGATATATTGTAATAAAACACCAAGAATCACTTGTAACTGGCACATTTTTTGAATGCAAACTACTTGCAAATAGTTTGTTTCCTTGGTTAAAACATTATTGCTGCATTTTATCATTTTTAATTTTGAAGATTATCTATATCGTATCACATATTAACATTTACTCTACTGTGACTATCATAAATACAGAATCAGAGCTTCATGAATTAATTATTTATTTTCCATAGGAGCCAAATAAGCTGAATTAAAGCTAAATTCCAAACAATAAACAATTTTAGTTAATGTATTAAAAGTAGAAAAGTCCTTGCTCAAAATAACTTAGAAGAAAAATACAAAGATATATCGAATTGTTAAAAAGAAAAAGATCACTGCAGTAATCAGAGAAGCTCTGAAACATTTAGGCACTTAACCCTTGAGTATATACTTCCAGGGTTTTCTTTTATCAGCTATTCATCTGTAGTAGGCTTTTTTTTTTTTCTTCATTTTGATGAGGTCCACAGGTAACCCTTTCCAGCAGCTCCCAATATACTTCCCCTTTTCTGGGGCTAATTTGCACAATCTTCTCCTTCAGGTCCACATTACAAAGTGTGAGAATTCCTGGAGCAGAACTGTCAGGAACTGTCACTGCCACTCCCTGGTCAATAAATGAGGCAAGGGGTCCAAAAGACTGTGATTGTTCAGGCCTGAGTAGTGGAAACTCAAGATTAGGAATCCCACTCAAATCTCACCACTGAAATTGAGAATATGAAGTTTCCTCCTCCCTACTCAAAAATGAGTAGGGAGTCTGTGCTGGCATTGATGGTTGGTAGGTGGTGTATAGAGTACTAGTTGATGAACAGTGAAATTATCAGTAGATATACAGTACAATATTGGTTAGTTACTATCACTTGCCAAATGATTTTATAGAGACAACATTGCCAACCTTCCAATCAGAGTGGGCTCTTTGATAATGCTTGATATACATTTTGTATTTATGCATTTGACACCTTTCTTTTCTTGGAAGCATATTTTTCGGTATTGTACCTAATCTTCTAATTCTCTTTATATTTTCCCATTCAGAAAACTACCTTAACTTTCTCAGAATCATTCTTAGTAAATAAAGTATACCTTAAACACTATAGATCACATTGGAAAAACTGCAGCAAAAAATTTACTATGCTAAATATATATATATATATATTTATATAAATATGTAATATGAAAAATTTAAAAATAGAGTGTTTACAAAGATTGATACTATTGTTAGATAAGCTGGTAAATATTTTGTACCTTGAGATAAATGAAACTTCAAACAACAATTGGATTTTAGAGCACGTATCTTGGTCTGCATATATTGGAATGCAATTATTGACCTGCATAAACTGAGCATGAAAGATCAAGAGAAACCTGATATTTAAACATAGTACCAGTCTATCATTTTTCCCCCCACTGGCATGACATCTAATAACAAAAATAAAACAAATTTCTGTGAGTCAGACTGCTTCACAGGTCTGCCACTGGACTGGAACATTGCAGAGCATATTCTCCTGCTGGTTTCATGATTTGACTTAAGTTACTCACAATTTGGGCAGCTTGGTGCCTTCATAGCTCTCCCAATCGCTTACTAATGTCAAGTAGGAGTGAGTTAAACCTACTCTAAGGGAGTAGCATAGGAGTTCAATACATTTCTCCTTCCATAAGACATCTTATTCTTATGCCTCTTCACATATGATCTTTCTAATTCGCTCTCAATTCTATTCCTCTTCTGTCCTCTGGGACTTTGTCCAATTATTCTTTCCATTTCTTTCTTCTGCATTTATCTATCACCAGTCCAAAGGGTCAATAAAAATGTTCAATTCTTTTATATTCTAAAAAAAGTATCTTAATCTTGCTTCTAATTCAAATATCATACTTTTATCTTTTACAAAAAAAGTCTCAAAAGTTGAATGTAGCTTTTCTGATTTCAATTTCTCATATTCTACTAATTCCTCAAAATACTGCAATCTTATTTTGTCCCATAAATTGACCTTACAAGGGAAATTAATGACCTCTAAGTTGCCAAAATCAACCAGTCCCTTCTTAGGTTTCATTCCTATAAAATTGCTGCTGTTTGTCAGTAGCTTTTTGAGACTCACTTCGTCTTTAATTCTGACAATAATTAAAGACTCCTCTCCTTTTATCTCTCTTGATGTTCTTACCCAATTTTCAAACACGCGTTCTTTACTTGAATATTTATTTAAAGCATTTTCCATGTTAGGTGCTAGTATGTGTGTTGGCTTCCCTTTCTCATCTGACATCACTCTATGTTCTTCATTGTATCAATTTTTCTCTTCTTATCTGCTTCCTTTCTTTGCAATGTTTCATATATACCTTTGACATTTATCTATAATGGCCAAATCACTGTTACAGATTCTAGCACCTCCTCTGAAGTCTAAGACTATATTTCCAAATTTCTATTGAAAATGTTTGTGAAGTTCTCCCATTGCCACTGAAAATGTTTGCTCTTCACATATGAAATAATAATATTATCTTCCTTATCTGCTCTTTTTCATTTTCTGACTTCGAAATTCTCTTCTAATTTACCAAGTTAACCAAGTTAGTGATCTTGAGGTCCTCCTTGACAACTGTCTCTTCTTTTAACCCCACATACAATCTTTGCCAAGCCGTAAAGTCTATGTCTCCCAAGTGTCTTGGTGACTTTTTTATTCCATTCCAAAACAAACTTCATAGATGAGATTGTAAGTGTATCTGATACCTATCATTTTTTCCCTACATTCTACCAGATTGCTACTTGAATTTTCTTCATTACAAAATATCTTGTCCTTTTAGTCTATTGCTCCAATGTCTTCTATAATTTAGATTAAAATTCTAAATATCACTCATTTAAAGTCCTGTCTTTCATGTGTAATATTATCTAAATTTTTCTAAAATGTCTCTTTTCCTAATAGAATCCTTTCTAGTCTTCAAGATTTAGGGCAAAGGCCAAGCCCTTCATGAAGCCTTTTCTGAGGTTTTGAGTCAGAAGGGATTTCTATCCAGTTAAGACTACAGCTCAATTAGAGTTCTTACTAAAACATGTCATATAGTGCTGTAAAATTTCTTGATGGCACAAATCTCAAGTAACAGTACAGTTCTTGGCACACTTACTTTTCCTAAGACTTTGGTGAATTGAATCTTTGAAATCTCTGTGTTCGTCTGTATTGATTGTATGGTGAATCAGTTAATATTGGCACCTCTGGCCTACAAAGTTTTGGTTATAAGACCAATCTTGAGGCTGTGATGATACTAAGATGACTTCTTTTTATTGCTTTCCTCTCTAAGTTTAGGAGATTCTATACAAAACTGCAGCAAGGCTTAGTTGCCTGAACTTGATTCTCAGAAGTGAACACTTTTCTACTTGTCTAGTGTTTGCTCAGGTTATATAATCTTATTGTGTACTCTTTAGTCAGCAGATGGAGATAATTCCACTTATCACTGGCTTTTCTCATGGGGGAATTGTTTCCGTGATCCCTTGAGCAAATTTCTTTCTCAAGTCGCAGTTTTCAGAGCATTGGCATTCTATCATGGGCTATTTGGACGGAATAGTTTCTTGAATTGCAACTATCACCAGACGGTGTTGTGGGTTTTTTTTTTTTTTTTTTTTGAGAGAATGCTAAAATGGGATTCTGAAGACCTGAGTTCTAGTTCTGATTTTTAAAATAAAAGGCACCATTTCAATTTGTTTGTATGTATTGTATAAAATGTAATTAGAAGAATATTTCTATATGTCTCCATAAGTAGGTATGGAGATTAAAATATTTTATTTTCCAATCTAAAATTGGCATCTTAGTTTTGTGACCTACCTATAGTGTTAGTTTTAGCTTCTACTTGCTAATCTGTAAAAGGAAATAATAATTCTTACATTAGATAATTGTTATAAAGATTGAATAAGATAAAGTTTAAGGCCCATATTTTCTGTTACATAGTCAGAATGCAATAGAACATAGCCATACACTACTATGAAAAGTCTAAAGTGCATTTATTATAACAGCATAAATTAGGAATTTTTCATCAAAAAATTTTGAATAGAAATTAAAGGGATCATGAACTTCAATAAGAAAAATATTACATCTTTATTAATTAATTTCTAGTGGAAATTTAGCATTTCCTTCTATAATGAATGAAGATGACAAACTATGGTAGGACTATCATTCTCTATAATGTTATCACCAATAAAAGCCACAGATATTGTCATATATGATGGTTGTTGCAGATATTTCAAAATACAATGTACATTCATCACTACTTCAAAATTACCGTACATATTAGATCTGCTGCTAGATCTTATTATTTAATGTCATAAGGAAGCACATATATAAGTATATGTCAAATATCTACTTACAAATATACTAACATTAAAATATAATTGGTATCCACTATAATATCATATATTTTAGTTTGTACTTTTAAACATTATTTTGGAAAACAGTTCAAATGATTCACCAGGCTGCAAAAGAAGTATGGCACAAAAATGTTTACGAACCGTCGTCATAAGTTATTGAGCACAACGACAGTAAAACTGGATGAAGTCTATGAAACCCTTCATATTCAAAGGAATTCTTTTTGTGTATGTAATTATTATTTTTGAAATGGAGCAGCTCTTCAAAGCTGACCAATTTTGGCCAAACCTACCACACAAAAATGTCCTTCTAATTACCCCTGTTCAATGCCTCCAGCTGCCTACGGCATAAACACTTCAAACAGCTACTCAGCCTTCCTGAGTTTGAAATGGGTTCTTAATTAAAATGGGAAGCAATTACAACTTTATTTATGCCATGGGAACTTAAAATACTTGCCTCTAATATAAAACTGAGGGAGAGCCTATTTTTTGGTGCCAGTGCATAACACCATGGTTGTTACTTTGTATGTTTGTTGAATTTCTTTACAGTTTTTATTTTCTGGGAGCAGTAAAACTGGGATAACATATATCTATATTTTATCTGTATTCAGATATAGATGATAATGATATTCATATAGATATGGATGATATAGATATAGATAGATATAGAGATAGGTTTTCAGTTTGCTCTCAGGGAACATTTAGAAGTTTGTGAAATTTGTCCTCAGTTTTTTTTTTCCTTCAGTTTCTTTTTCCTTTCAGGTTCAAAGTGCATTACTAACATGAGAAACCACCAATGTGTGACATTGTTCTCTCAGGAACATTTTAATGTGAAATTTCTGGATTTAGTAATTAAAAATGTAAATGAATATGTAAATGTTTATTATATATGTATTTGTTTATATTATGTATATAGGTAGAGTGGCGATCCAATTAGAAAGAAATTTGGAGACAAAAAATATTTTATACCTCACAAACCATGTACTGTTAGTGGCTGACTTTTCACTCTATGTCTAGAAATACGCTGGTTGTGCACTAGATATAATATATGCATGGATGTGAAAATACCATACAAGCCCAAATCTCTGCTTTTATTTTATTATGAAAATGTAGTAAATGCCATTTATTTGTTTGGTGAATATAAACGAGCTTTCTCAATGTGCTAATTCTTCATTCATTGTATGAAGAACTTGTGGTTCTTTTAGATCTCTGCTGTTAGTTTTATAGCAATGTTCCATTGTCAAGAGAGAAATTTAAAAGCTGTAGGCATAAAACCACCTGAACTTATGTGGCTTTTGTTTAGTTTACATACATTGGTATGGCAATGGCAATTCACCATCTGAACTATTTCTGGGAAATCAATTATTACTTTCAATATTTTACAGGGATTTTTAGTTTTCATTGGAAAATATTAAAACAATTTAGTGTATACTCCAATGCCATAGTGATGGCTATTCAGAGATTAATGTAGAAGGACAGATATTTTATAATAACATTTTTAGTAAAAGAAAACAATAGAGATACTTGTTTAAAAGTATCCAAGATTACTGGAGCCATCGGCTATCCCTTTAGGTAAATTTTATTTACACTGAAAGAGTTCATTACAAAAATTGCCCACGTTAAAATAATGGGAAATATTCTTTCAGATGAGATTAAACAATTATCCAGTTCTTTAGAAATCAAAAGTAAAACGTGATATTAAGCCCACTTGGATAGAAAATTGATCTAAATAAATTTCCTTTCTCCTGAAAGTTCATTCAAAAACATAGTGATTTCGAAATGCGTATTTTGCATTTGCTCATTTTAAATCATTACCTAAAACATATATAACAATTCTGTAAATACACAAACAAATGGTAGAAACAAAAGCCTAAGGTGATCAAAGTGAAAGTGTTCTTTCTCATTTCTACTTTATATCTACCAATTATTTGAAGCATTTGTCTTCCTAAATGAATAGCCATGTTTGGAGCCAGAGGTCTGAAAATAATTAAAGCATATCAATCTGATATTTCCAAAAGAGGGAATTTTGCTGCCTTTAAATAGTCTAATTATATTTATAATCACCATCTGTCTATTCCTACTTTCTATTTGCTGGAACTTTCCCTAGAGTTTCTCAAAACCACTGTTCTAATTAGATATACCTACAAGGTAATTCTAGACAAGATAATTCTGTTGTAGGAATTAGGGTTGGGTTGGGGAGGTTGGTGACTAAAACCACCCTTATTAGATAGTGTCCTACAGTATTTTTGCAAAAGAGGATATTTCACATCCTATCAAATTTTAATTTTTGGATTGACCTCAATAAAATGAGTTTCTGGCACTAGTTGTGAAACCAGTGTTTTAGAAACAATCAACTTTATGTAGTAAAAACAAAACAAATAAAAAACACTATAATATAGCCTACTGTCCACCAATTGTGGGCTATTTCTAGACATAAATTTTATTACAGCTCCCAAATAACAATGACAATCAATTGCTCTTATGACTCCAAAGCTGCCTGGTGTCACAGTTAATAATTTTTTGTTATGGTTCCTTTGCTTGGAAATTTTCATAACATTATAACATATTTTCTTTTTTTATTATACTTTAAGTTCTAGGGTACATGTGCACAACGTGCAGGTTTGTTACATATGTATACACGTGCCATGTTGGTGTGCTGCACCCATTAACTTGTCATTTACATTAGGTATATCTCTATCCCTCTCCACTCCCCCCACCCCACAACAGGCCCCAGGGTGTGATGTTCCCCACCCTGCATCCAAGTGTTCTCATCGTTCAATTCCCACCTATGAGTGAGAACATGCGGTGTTTGTTTTCTTTGTCCTTGGGATAGTTTGCTGAGAATGATGTTTTCCAGCTTCATCCATGTCCCTACAAAGGACATGAAGTCATCATTTTTTATGGCTGCATAGTATTCCATGGCGTATATGTGCCACATTTTCTTAATCCAGTCTATCATTGTTGGACATTTGGCTTGGTTCCAAGTCTTTGCTATTGTGAATAGTGCCGCAATAAACATACGTGTGCATGTGTCTTTATAGCAGCATGATGTATAATCCATTGGGTATATACCCAGTAATGGGATGGCTGGGTCAAATGGTATTTCTAGTTCTACATCCTTGAGGAATCGCCACACTGTCTTCCACAATGGTTGAACTAGTTTACAGTCCCACCAACAGTGTAAAAGTGTTCCTATTCCTCCACATCCTCTCTAGCACCTGTTGTTTCCTGACTTTTTAATAATCGCCCTTCTAACTGGTGTGAGATGGTATCTCATCGTGGTTTGGATTTGCATTTCTTTGATGGCCAGTGATGATGAACATTTTTTCATGTGTCTTTTGGCTGCATAAATGTCTTGTTTTGAGAAGTGTCTGTTAATATCCTTTGCCCACTTGTTGATGGGGTTCTTTGTTTTTCTCTTGTAAATTTGTTTGAGTTATTTGTAGATTCTGGATGTTAGCCCTTTGTCAGAGGAGTAGATTGCAAAAATTTTCTCTCATTCTGTAGGCTGCCTTTTCACTCTGATGGTAGTTTCTTTTTC
Source organism: Homo sapiens (assembly GCF_000001405.40). Classification (NCBI taxonomy): domain Eukaryota; kingdom Metazoa; phylum Chordata; class Mammalia; order Primates; family Hominidae; genus Homo; species Homo sapiens. Next base: position 51,363,949 of record NC_000002.12, on the reverse strand, counting down.
TGTGCAGAAGCTCTTTAGTTTAATTAGATCCCATTTGTCAATTTCGGTTTTGGTGCCATTGCTTTTGGTGTTTTAGACATGAAGTCCTTGCCCATGCCTATGTCCTGAATGGTATTGCCTAAGTTTTTTTCTAGGGTTTTTATGGTTTTAGGTCTAACATAGGTCTTTAATCCATCTTGAATTAATTTTTGTATAAGGTGTAAGGAAGGGATCCAGTTTCAGCTTTCTACATATGGCTAGCCAGTTTTCCCAGCACCATTTATTAAATAGGGAATCCTTTCCCCATTTCTTGTTTTTGTCAGGTTTGTCAAAGGTTGAACCCATTGCAAAGAAGCTAAAAACCTTGAAAAAAGATTAGACAAATAGCTAACTAGAATAAACAGTGTAGAGAAGTCCTTAAATGACCTGATGGAGCTGAAAACCATGGCTTGAGAACTACATGATGAATGCACAAGCTTCAGTAGCCGATTCGATCAACTGGAAGAAAGGGTATCAGTGATTGAAGATCAAATGAATGAAATGAAGCGAGAAGCGAAGTTAGAGAAAAAAGAGTAAAAAGAAATGAACAAAGCCCCCAAGAAATATGGGACTATGTGAAAAGACCAAATCTAAATCTGATTGGTGTATCTGAAAGTGATGGAGAGAATGGAACCAAGTTGGAAAACACTCTGCAGGATATTATCCAGGAGAACTTCCCCAACCTAGCAAGGCAGGCCAACATTCAAATCCAGGAAATACAGAGAATGCCACAAAGATACTCCTCGAGAAGAACAACTCCAAGACACATAATTATCAGATTCACCAAGGTTGAAATGAAGGAAAAAAATGTTAAGGGCAGCCAGAGAGAAAGGTTGCGTTACACACAAAGGGAAGCCCATCAGACTAACAGCACATCTCCCAGCAGAAACTCTACAAGCCAGAAAAGAGTGGGGGCCAATGTTCAACATTGTTAAAAAAAGAATTTTCAACCCAGAATTTCATATCCAGCCAAACTAAGTTTCATAAATGAAGGAGAAATAAAATCCTTTACAGACAAGCAAATGCTGAGAGTTTTTGTCACCACCAGGCCTGCCCTAAAAGAGCTCCTGAAGGAAGCAATAAACATGGAAAGGAACAACCGGTACCAGCCACTGCAAAAACATGCCAAATTGTAAAGACCATCGATGCTAGGAAGAAACTGCATCAACTAACAAGCAAAATAATCAGCTAACATCATAATGACAGGATCAAATTCATACATAACAATATTAACCTTACATGTAAATAGGCTAAATTCTCCAATTAAAAGACACGGACTGGCAAATTGGATAAAGAGTCAAGACCCATCAGTGTGCTGTATTGAGGAGACTCACCTCACATGAAGAGACAAACATAGGCTCAAAATAAAGGGATGGAGGAAGATCTACCAAGCAAATGGAAAACAAAAAAAGGCAGGGGCTGCAATCCTAGTCTCTGATAAAACAGACTTTAAACCAACAAAGATCAAAAGAGACAAAGAAGGCCAATACATAATGGTAAAGGAATCAGTTCAACAAGAAGAACTAACTATCCTAAATATATATGCACCCAATACAGGAGAACTCAGATTCATAAAGCAAGTCCTTAGAGACCTATAAAGAGACTTAGACTCCCACACAATAATAATGGGAGATTTTAACACCCCCCGGTCAACATTAGATAGATCAAGGAGACAGAAAGTTAACAAGGATACCCACAAATTGAACTCTGCTCTGCACCAAGCAGACCTAATAGACATCTACAGACCTCTCCACCCCAAATCAACAGAATATACATTCTTCTCAGTACCACATTGCACTTATTCCAAAATTGACCACTTAGTTGGAAGTAAAGCACTCCTCAGCAAATGGAAAAGAACAGAAATTATAACAAACTGTTTCTCAGACCACAGGGCAATCAAACTGGAAATCAGAATTAAGAAACTCACTCAAAACTGCTCAACTCCATGGAAACCAAACATCCTGCTCCTGAATGACTACTGGGTTCATAACGAAATGAAGGCAGAAATAAAGATGTTCTTTGAAACCAATGAGAACAAAGACACAGCATAGCAGAATCTCTGGGACACATTTAAAGCAGTGGGTAGAGGGAAATTTATAGCACTAAATCCCACAAGAGAAAGCAGGAAAGATCTAAGTTTGACACCCTAACATCACAATTAAAAGAACTAGAAAAGCAAGAGTAAACACATTCAAAAGCTAGCAGAAGGTAAGCAATAACTAAGATCAGAGCAGAACTGAAGGGGATAGAGACACAAAAAACCCTTCACAAAATCAATGAATCCAGGGCTGGTTTCTTGAAAAGATCAACAAAATTGATAGACCGCTAGCAAGACTAATAAAGAAGAAAAGAAAGAAGAGCCACATAGGTGCAATAAAAAATGATAAAGGGGATATCACCACCAATCCCACAGAAATACAAACTACCATCAGAGAATACAATAAACACCTCTACGCAAATAAACTAGAAAATCTAGAAGACATGAGTAAATTCCTGGACACATACACCCTCCAAGACTAAATCAGGAAGAAGTTGAATCTCTGAATAGACCAATAACAGGCTCTGAAATTGAGGCAATAATTAATAGCCTACCAAACAAAAAAAGCCCAGGACCAGACGGATTCACAGCTGAATTCTACCAGAAGAACAAGGAGGAGCTGGTACCATTCTTTGTGAAACTTTTCCAATCAATAGAAAAAGAGGGAATCCTCCCTAACTCATTTCATGAGGCCAGCATCAGCCTGATACCAAAGCCTGGCAGAGACACAACAAAAAAAGAGAATTTTAGACCAATATCCCTGATGAACATCGATGCAAAAATCCTCAATAAAATACTGGCAAACTGAATCCAGCAGCACATCAAAAAGCTTATCCACCATGATCAAGTGGGCTTCATCCCTGGGATTCAAGGCTGGTTCAACATACGCAAATCAGTAAATGTAATCCAGCATATAAACACAACCAAAGAGAAAAACCACATGGTTATCTCAACAGATGCAGAAAAGGCCTTTGACAAAATTCAACAGCCCTTCATGCTAAAAACTCTCAATAAATTAGGTATTGATGGGATGTATCTCAAAATAATAAGAGCTATTTATGAGAAAGCCACAGCCAATATCATACTGAATGGGCAAAAACTGGAAGCATTCCCTTTGAAAACTGGCACAAGACGGGGATGCCCTCTCTCACCACTCCTATTCAACAGAGGGTTGGAAGTTCTGGCCAGGGCAATCAGGCAGGAGAATTAAAGCGTATTCAATTAGGAAAAGAGGAAGTCAAATTGTCCCTGTTTGCAGATGACATGATTGTATATTTAGAAAACCCCATCTTCTCAGCCCAAAGTCTCCTTAAGCTGATAAGCAACCTCAGCAAAGTCTCAGGATACAAAATCAATGTGCAAAAATCTCAAGTATAAGAATTTATACACCAATAACAGACAAACGGACAGCCAAATCATGAGTGAACTCCCATTCACAATTGCTTCAAAGAGAATAAAATACCTAGGAATCCATCACACAGGGGATATGAAGGACCTCTTCAAGGAGAACTACAAATCACTGCTCAACGTAATAAAAGAGGACACAAACAAATGGAAGAACATTCCATGCTCATGGATAGGAAGAATCAATATCACGAAAATGGTCATACTGCCCAAAGTAATTTATAGATTCAATGCCATCCTCGGCAAGCTACCAATGACTTTCTTCACAGAATTGGAAAAAACTACTTTAAAGTTCATATGAAACCAAAAAAGAGTCTGCATTGCCAAGTCAATCGTAAGCCAAAAGAACAAAGCTGGAGGCATCACGCTACCTGACTTCAAACTACACTACAAGGCTACAGTAAACAAAACAGCATGGTACTGGTACCAAAACAGAGATATAGACCAATGGAACAGAACAGAGCCCTCAGAAATAATACCACACACCTACAACCGTCTGATCTTTAACATATTTTCAATAAATAAAAGTGAAAGCATCTTTGGTAACTCAGTAATCCCATTCAGAATAAAGGCCTTATGCTACTCTCAAGGGAAAATTTTACTTCATAATTGCATTAAACCAGTGTACAAATGGACTGGATCAGTCTCAGCAAAAGCTGAAAATTTGTGAAAGCACGATTTTGCCATCTGAAGCCTTCTTATCAATGTTATACTGTTGTACAGTGATACCCAATGCTGTATGTTTTATCCTCATCTATCACCATATCCACTTTGCTCCATTAAAGCCTGCTTCTATCATCTACACAGTGAATTGAACATGACAGACAATAGACAAGATACTTATTGAATAAAGTAATGATTAAAAGATAGATCCTGACACCTGACATGAATACTGTAAATTTGAATTTGAGTCAATGTAGTATCTCTCCTAAGGATGCTTGTATGTTAAGAATTATTTCTAATTTTAAATATTTAATGTGCTGATCAAAGAATTTTAGACAACAGAAACAAAGTAAAAATATTTAGTAGAAAGGAGGCTTTTTAAAGGTTGTTTGAAGGCCATAAGTTACGGTGCAAAGCATCACTCAAGAGTCTGAATCCCTCACATGGCAACTTTAAGAAGATGATTCTGAGTTACTGTGAATCTGACTTTTTTCCATCTATAATACAATGCTAATAACAACCTTCAAGGATGTTATAATGACTAAATGAAAGAATAGTCTAAAAGATGAACAAATGTCTAAAAGATAAAAAACACTTAATAAATGCAGACTTCCTTTCCTTGAAGTGATATTATATTAGCAACCACTATCACAATTAACATGTATGATTATCCTTATCCAGAGTTTAATAGGCAAATATAAATGAATATAATTTTACATTTTATGTTATTTTGAATTATGTAGATCAACTTTACGGAAATGGTAGGTTTTTCCAAATCTTTTTATTCCCATTGAAGTTTTGGCTATCATCGTTGTCATCAAAATATCATTAGCCAAAATGCTTTGTCCTACACTAGTTTATTTGTTGGCACAACCTGACAGAGAGCAGCAGCTTTTAATTCCTTGTAAGTCAGTGGTCCTGACAACATTAATCTCAGTATTACTAATTTAAAATAATTTTAATGTATATTTACTCACAGCGACACTTTTCATGGTAAATTATGTCAGCTCAGTAAATTACAGTTGTTGGTCACAACTCAGGGAAGGTGTCTAGGAGATTTATACTGTTTAGGAAAGATAAACCCTTGTCTTACCATGACCCAAAAGAGTTACACACTATTTTTAATAAAAAAATAGGGTATAGAAAACCCGTCAGAAAACAAAAAAATACTCATAAAAAGCATTTTAGAAAAACAAAGACTAAAGAGAAAGATGATTCTTACCTATATCTTCAATGATCATTAAATGAACTATGCAACATTTACCAAATCCTGAAAAACTTTGTTGAATAGACACCCTATGCATGTTGAGGCTCTTCAGAGTGAGCAAAAGCAGGCAGATTTTGTAGGGGGATGGAAATTTGGAAGAAGCAATTGACATGGATTGAATTTCTCCATGTTATGGCTTTATTCTGAGAGCAGATTGCAGTACAGCAATAGCAACTATATTGAGATAAAAACCTACCATTGTATTAACCTGATGAACTAGAGGACAGAGTCTATGACAACCACTACAACCACTGCCACACGAAAGTGATAAGACTGCAAACTGTGCCCAAACCTCTGCCTGATTCTGCAGCTGCTCATGCACCAGGGCACAAGGGAGACTTAAAAAAGACTAGCTAAGGAAAACAGAATTGGTAAGATTTAAGCTGCTGCCCATTGCATACAAAACAGAGCTTTCAGTTTGATTCTAAATAAGTTATTGTCTTGCTAAAACCAAATGAAATTTTTCAGGGAGATGAAAAAGAATCTATATTCTCCATGGCACACCCTGTACAAGTTCCAAAGTATAATTCAAAAATATTAGATGAAAAATATTTTTAAACGATGCTTCTTCTAAACAGTAAAGGCAGTTAATAGATGTCAACCTCAAGATTACCAAGATCTTGAAATTATCAGACAAGTACTTTAAAGTTGCTATTATTGCTATGCTCAACTAGACAGATTTGTAAGCTTATAATGAATAAAATGATAAGATATATCAGAAATTAAAGCTATAAAAAGCTCCAAATGAATACTCTAGAATTGAAAAATACGAGTGTTTTAAAAAAAATCACTGGAGAGGCATAATATCAAAAATTCAGTAAACTTAAAGATACAGCAATTGAAATTATTTAATCTGAAGAAGAGTAAAACTGAGAGCTATAGCTATAGTTAATATTATGATATTTACACATTATAGTATATATTATATTGCATTTTATGTTATATTGTATTATTATGCATACATTAGAGAGAGAAAGATTGACAGATTGCCTCAGGGACCTGTTTGACAGTATCACATGGCCAGAAATAAACACAATTGGAGTTCCAGAAGGAAAAGTGAGCAGGAAAGGGGAAGAAAACAATTATTTGAGGAAATAACAGTCAAAACTTTCCACATTTGGTGAAAGACATAAATTTACACATTAAAGAAGGGCAGCAAATCCGAAAATAGATCAATATGAAAAAAAATCCTAGATTCCCACAAATTGCTCAAAATAAAAGGTAAAGAAAAATATCCTGAGAGCAGCCTCAGAAAAAAACAGCCATTATATAAAAAAAACCATAGAATTTAGAGTAACTGCAGACTTCTCATCATAAACCATGTAGAACAAAATGTTTAATGTGTCAAAAAGTTAAAATCTGTCAATACTGACAGATAAAATAATTAAGTCTAAATAAAATAAAATTCTACTTCACACACCATGTAATAAAAATAAGGTTTTTATTACAGAAGGATGTTATTGAATTACACATCTTGGCAATCAGAGGTTGCAGGGTGTGCTATCAGAACTATAGTAGATTGCTTGGAGCAAAGATCAACCACGCAATTTCCATATTACCTTATTCACATTTATCATTGATACATATTCAATTTTAGACTGTACTAATTTCATGCACATGTATTACCTTTCCTACATAATAAATTGCATGAAGAATGAGCTGTGTCTTCTTTTTACCCTTTATGTTCCCATAGAACTTTGCACTTAGTAAGTATGCAAAAATAACAGTTGAATAACTAAACCTCATAAATAAATACTATCATTATGTCAGGGTGAAATAGACAAATTATTCTCTAATATTGACAGGTATTTGTGCATGTGTGATTTTCCTCTCTAATGTAAATATCCATTCAGATGAGACTAAAAGGTAAATTATTTGTTTAAGTAATTGATAGTCAATCAAAGATGGATTTTATGCATTTTCATTAAATCACAGGTGTGTTAGTCTGTTCTCACACTGCTAATAAAGACATACCCAGGACTGGGTAAAGGAAAGAGGATAAATTGACTCACAGCTCCACATGGCTGGGGAAGTCTCACAATCATGGTGGAAGGCGAATGAGGAGCAAAGTCACGTCTTGCATGGTGGCAGGTAAGAGAACTTGTGGAGGGGAACTCCCATTTATAAAACCATCTGATCTCATGAGACTTATTCACTATCACAAGGACAGCACAGGAAAGACATGCCCTCAGGATTCAATTACCTCTCACCAGGTCCCTCTCACAACACATGGTAATTATGGGACCTTCAAGATGAGATTTGGGTGGCAACACTGCCAAACCATATCAATTAGTACCCTAAAAGTATATGTCACGAAACAAAGAAATATTAAAAACCCAAGAACAAGTGGTTAAATCTTCTAACTAGTTTTATTCATTCCTTCAGCTATGTTCAGTAGCTCACATTGCATACATGCATTTACCTTCTCAACTTTCTTTCTTTTTGCTAATGGAAGGCAATCATAGTGCAGTGACTTAAAGACTGGGCTCTCAAGTCAGAATGCGTGAGGTAAATCCTCAATTTATAACTTCCTCATAGCACTGCTTGAATCATTTCCCTAATATATATGCCTCAGTTTTCCGATTTGAAAATAGTTATAATAATGGTACCTACTCTGGAGGGTTGTTGTGAGTACCTAGTACAAAATATATATGTAAAGCCCTAGAGAAGTGCTTGGCATAAGTTAAGACTTTAATAAATTTTAACTATGGTTGTGAGAGTAGAAGTAGTGATAACAGTAGATTACCTACAACAGCAGAAGAATTATTTGAGTTCATTTCTACACTTGCAGAAGCAACAAAATGCAGGTTCTGTTGGCTTTACCTCTCTTGCATTTTTTTTTTTTTTTTTTTTGCGTCGGAGTCTCGCTCTGTCACGCAGGCTGGAGTGCAGTGGCACGATCTCGGCTCACTGCAAGCTCCACCTCCCGGGTTCCCACCATTCTCCTGCCTCATCCTCCCAAGTAGCTGGGACTACAGGTGCCCGCCACCATGCCCGGCTAATTTTTTTGTATTTTTAGTAGATATGGGGTTTCGCTGTGTTAGCCAGGATGGTCTTGATCTCATGACCTCTTGATCCGCCCGCCTCGGCCTCCCAAAGTGCTGGGATTACAGGCGTGATCTCTTGCATTTTTAAAAGATTTCTTTTAAACTACAGGCTGTGTGTACACACACTACATACATGACTCTTGGGCAAACATGAGGGTTTTTAAAGATGCTTTTGTATATATCTTTCTAATTTAGTATCTCTTTTGCCTATATTTTTAAAGTATAATAGAATAAGTTTGAGAGTACGAAAAATTAATTTTTACTTTTTAACATTTATTTTACTAAGACAGAGTATTTTTGTATAGTCAGAGTTTGTTTTGGTTTGGTTATTAATGCTGAAGTCTCTTTGAATATTTGTGAATTCCTTTTGTATTTTTTGTGTGAGAAAATACAAGCTTCCACACCATGGAAAGGAGAGAAGTAATTCCCTCCTTGCAGATAACTGGAAAGAGGATTTACGAAAAAGAATTAAGTGAAACAATATGTAGTGCACACATCCTAAAACTCTGTTTATGACAAATTTGGTTTGGGAAAAAACAAGAGAAGCAGACTGTGAACTGTTTATGAGAATTTTTCTTTCTTTAGAGTAGAAAGAAAACAAATCAAACTGATGATGGTCTGACTCTGATATTGTGAATCAAAGATTATTTTGTACTAGCCAACACAATCCAGCCATCCATCTATTCTATTTTATTAAACATCTTCCATAATTTAGGTAAATTATTTGAGTCCCTACTAATTAGACCTCACTTTCCTCTGGAAATAAGCCAATAAGAGTTAAGAAAATTATCATCATCCATACACAACCAAACACTCACACACACACACACACATTATATATATATATTTATTTATATATAAATATATATATATTATATAAATAAGAAAAGCACAGGAAAAACATGCTCTCATGATTCAACTACCTCTCACAGGGTCTCTCCCATGACACATGATAATTATGGGAGCTTCAAGATGATAATTATGAGTGGGGCAACAGCCAATCCATATCAATAGGTAACCTAAAAGTATACGCCATGAAACAAATAAGTATTAAAAACCCAAGAATAAGTTGTTAAATCTTCTAACTAGTTTTATTCATTCCTTCAGCTATGTTCAGTGGCTAACATTGTATATATGCCTTTACCTTATCAACTTTGTTTCCTTCACATATATATATATATAGAGAGAGAGAGAGAGACAGAGAGAGAGACAGAGAGAGACAGAGAGACAGAGAGACAGAGACAGAGACGGAGATTTTGCTCTGAAGTCCTGATATAGGCAAGGGCTTCTACAAGTGGCTTTATATTACTTTCATCAGGAGTCATCCTGAGAACTAATCTCAGCCCTCTGACCCTCTCCAGTGCAGGAAGAGAGTGACCCATACAACTAAAGCATTGCTCAGAAGGAGGCATTGTCATCTGGCTCAGTTAAGGGGAAGTGGAGCTAGGCCCTTGAGAAATTTCTGTTTCAAGGCCAAGGGTGAAGGGATGGCAGCAGGAAGATGGAGGAGGTGGATATCTACTGCTATTGCCTCCCATTTTTTCCACTCATTCTATAAGCTTTTATTTCATCTTCATTAGGTACCTGATGATACGAAGGAGGGAGCCTGTAAATTTTTGAAGTAAATGCTCAGCAACAGTTTTACAAAACAAACTTACCTAACCAAATAGTTAAGAAAAAGTATATTTTCTTAAAGTGAATAGAAACTGATGGTGAATATAGATTAAATTGCCTTCTTGAGGTTATGCTGGTGTGTGCCAGCATAAGCAAATACTAAGAAAGGGATTGATAACAAGGAGCCTTATCTCAGTGGGACATACAATGAAAAGTAGTAAGGCCAGGGTCACATGTAGATGAAGAGAGAAATTCAAGCATGCATGGTCTTGCATCTGCTTCTTGACCAACTCCTACTCATCTCATGCCACTTTCTCCTCCTTTCATCTCCCTAACCTCAGCTCTTCCCTTCTTCAAAGCTTACAACTCATCAACCTTGTGCGTTTATTTCATTTTCTAGAATGCCTGGAACTCATCTTGAAAAGGATTCTCAAACTTTTGTTGTCTTTCCTTAGATTGCTCTTCCCCTTTTCACCATTTTTCCAGCTTATTTTCAACAATCAGGTTTCAGCTTACGTATCATTTTCTTAACCTCCTTCAAAGGGTCCTTCTCGAAACGCCCTTGCTACAGAAGCCTCCCTCCTTGATATTATATACTGCAGCATCTTCCTTCTCTTCTCTATAGCACTTTTCATAGATTTCCATTACTGTATTTAATTTTTTATTTATTTACACTTTTTCCCCATAAAAAATAGCTTTATCTCCACAAGAAAGGCAACATTTATGCCTCTTCACCATTATATCTTGGTGGTCATCACCATACCTAAAATGCAGAGAATGCTCAGTAAACATTCATTTAATTTACAAAGTAAGAATATAGAAAATTCTGATTTATAGTAAATATAGTGCCAATTCTAGAATTAAGAGGGATTTGGGGATAACATAAAAGCTCCAAATATAACATTATTGTGGTTCACTCTCATATTGATTTAACCAAATAGCAAACTTTGTAGATTTAATTCTGAAATGTGTTTTTAATCATATTCAATTAATTCTTCTTTTTCACAGAATTATAGGACAAAGAAGCCTTTTAGCCATTTTTATAGATGACTAACTGCCCCCACAAATACATCAAATAATTTACATTAGGTATATCAGGTAAAAAATATTCCTTTGAATAATGTTTAATTAGCCAGGTTTGTTTTTTACAAACATTTTACAAGGATATCTTCTCCATACTTGCTTGGTTATTACCATTGGTCTTTTAAAGAAATATCTAGGATAAATGATAGATCATAAAAGGAAAAGATAAAAGAAATACAAAGTATTAAATCAGTGATCTCATGCTATGCCCAGAAAAGATGAAGACTTGATCTTTACAAAAAGCCTGAAAAGAGGTGATGGCTAGAATATGTTTCTGAGTTAGAACTGAGTACCCAAAAGGAATTTTTAAAAGCAAGGAACTAAAAATTAATTTTGAATACATTTTTAGAAAGATGAAAGCAGCACCAAATGCCAAGGAAAAAGAATGGATCTTCCTGTCTACCAATGAGCAGGCAACAGATGCCTTTGTACTGTTCATGTCTTCTTACCCCAGTCCCATGTGGACTCTCTGCAGTAAATACTGTTTGGCTTAACAGTCCATCATTTTCCCCAGTGAAGTCTCCATTTAGAAAGTAAGATTTTGCCCCTGGCTTGCCGGACTTTTGCCCTACATAAAGATAATGAGATTCGAACGGAACAGAAGCTAATTTGTGGGTTTAATATAGTGCTGCTTTTAGATAGTAATAAAATCCTTTTCTAAAACACTAAGTGCACATCAGCATTAACATAAGTCAAACAGTTTCCAGCCTCACATCTGAAGGGTGTTTTTTATTATTTAACTCCCTAGAGATGGCTTAATATCTACAGTGACCTAATAATGACCTGTTTTAGATTCAGATGATACTACTTTACATTTGAGTGGGAACCTAAAGGGTCTTTAGGAATTAGAAAATGTGGCCTGACTTGATGGGTTTGTCTGAGCTTTTCACTTTTAAGTCTTAACAGGAAGGAGACCACTGAATCATTGAATTACCCAGAGTTAAATTTGCTGTATAGACTAGAGACCTTATTTATGTAAAATTAGGTCACATATTTCTCCTTAGCAATTTAAAAAATTTATTTCTATGCTATACAATATAATATTGTGTATCCAATATATGAAAGTTATCCTTCAGTTTGCACCTTTTTTTATGATCTAACACACAAAAGGTATGAATTCAAGTCTCTAATGATATAGGAGAGATCTATAACATCCAGAAAGACCACTAGATCCATATTCCATTCATAATGCCAAATAGCTAGGTCACTGATGAAAGAAGAAATAACCTGTACCCTGTCATGCAAGGAAGACAGGTGGATGACTCTCAGATGAGGATTTTCCTTTTCTTTTCTTTTCTGTCTTTTTCTTTCTTTCCTTTCATTTTATTTGATCCACTGCATTTTTTTCTCATTATATTTTCTCAGTTTTAAACCAGAGGCTACACTACATGGTGAATATATTTGGACTGAATTGTAGGTTTTGGTATCACATGATCAGAACCATTCTTATTTTTCCTAAAATGATAACTTTCCTCACCCACAGGAAAATTCAAATCTTTGATGGAGAGAGCATTTGACAAGAATGAGCTCATAAATGGTGGCATGCAGCTATCATCCTAGAATATTATTGTTTGGAAATGTAAAAGGAAAATATAGTCATATGACACATGCTGTTTATGTCTAACACATTTAATTTAAAATGCTGTACCAGTCTACTCCATCTTTGAACATACTTCATTGTCTACGAAGTGTTTTTTGTTTAACAGCTTCATTGAAGTATAACCAAATTCAGTTAACTACACATATTGAAGGTGTACGATTGGATAAACTTTATTATTATTATTATTATTATTATTATATTATTATTATTTTGAGATGGTGTCTTGCTCTGTCACCCAGGCTGGAGTGCAGTGGTGCAATCTTAGCTCACTGCAACCTCTGCCTCCCAGGTTCAAGCAATTCTCCTGCGTCAGCCTCCCAAGTAGCTGGGACTACAGGCGCATGCCACCACGTCTGGCTAATTTTTGTATTTTTAGTAGAGATGGGGTTTCACCATGTTGTCCAGGCTGGTCTCGAGCTCCTGTCCTCAGGAGATCGCCCGCCTTGGCCTCCCAAATTGCTGGGATTACAGGAGTGAGCCACTGCACCCGGCCGGATAAACGTTAAAATAAGTACACATCCATGACACTATAATAACAATCAAAATAATGAACATATCCATCACCTACACAAGTTTCTTAGTGCTTCTTGTGATCCTTTCCTCCCCTCTTTTCCCTACCCGATTCCCAGGCAGCCAGTGATTTCCTTTCTTTCACTAGATGATAGTTTGTACTTCCTAGATTTCATGTAAATGAAATCATAAAGTATGATGTTTTTTAGGCTTGCCTCTTTCATGAATCATAGTTATTTTTTGTATATCAACAGTTTATTCCTTTTTATTGCTAAATAGCATTTCATTACATGAGCAGATAACAGTTTATTTATTCATCTGTGGATGAGCCTTTGGTTTGTTTCTTTTTTCAGCTATCATAAAAGGACTATGGATATTTCTGATATAAGCCCTAGTATGTACAAATGCTTTCATTTCTCCTGAGTAAATATCTCCAAGTGGGGTGACGTAAATCATATGATATGTTATGTTTAACTTTTCAGGAAGTTGCCAAGATAATTTCCAAATTAGTTTCAACATTATACATTCACCAGAAATGTATGAGAGTTCCAGCTCTTCCATATCCTGGCCAAATTTGGTATGTACAAACTTTTTATTTTTATTTATTTAATAATTTGTTTTCATACCTCAGTTTTGTATTAATTTGTGTTTCCTTGGGTTTAACGAAGTTGAGTATCTTTTTATGTGTGTATTTGATATTCTAATATTTCCTTTGTTAGCTTCCTGTAAAATCTTTTGCCTGTTTTTAATATTGTATTCTGTTTTGAGAGTTCTTTACCTAGTATTTACAAACTTTTTCACAGATATGTGATTTGCAAATATTTCCTTTTCTTCTATGTCATTCTCATATATTTTATAGAGCAAAAACTCTGTGGCAATACTTTTGGTGTTATAGCTAAGACACTTTTGCCCAGCACAAAATTATAATGGTTGTTTCTTATCTTTCATTTCACTTTGCTTTTCCCAATTTTAAGACCCGTGATCCATTTTCATTCAATTTTTGTATATGCTATGAGAAATGAATTAAAGTTCTTTCTTCTTGCATGTAAATGGTAAATGGCCAATTGGTTCAACATTATTTTTTCAAAAGACTATCACTTCTCCACTGAGATGTTTTTCCATACTTAGGAAAACACTTATCTACAAATATCTATTTCTGAACCCTCTATTTCATTTCATTCATTTGTCTACCTTAATCTTAATTCTGCATTGTTTTGATTACCAGAGGTTTGTAATAATTTTTGATATCAAGTTGTATTAGTCCTCCAACCTCATTCTTTTTCAAAATTGTTCTGGATATTCTGGGTCTTTGCATTTCTATATGAATTTTATAATCAATTGCCTAATTTCTACAAAAAGAGGCTACTGAAATTGTTATTGGGATTTTTTTGAACCTATAAATCAATTAGGAGAGAATTTACATCTTAACAATACTGAATCTTCTGACACATGAACATGACATATCTCTCCATTTGTTCAGGTACACTTTAGCTTATCTAAACAGTGCCTTGTGTTTTCTGGTATTATACGTCTTTTATATATGTTTTCAAGTTTTTCCTAAGTATTCATTTTTTGATGCTAAATAATATTTTTCAAATTTCAAATTTAAAATGTGTGTTCCTTATACAAAGAGATCAAATGGATTGTTGTATATTAATGTATCTGGCAACCTTACTAAACTCGTTTATTAGTCCTAATAGTTTGTTTGTAGATTCTGTTAGATTCCTAAGAAAGCATTCATATTGTCTAAGAATAGACAATTTTACTTCTTTCTTTCTGACGAGGATGCCTGTTATTTCTTTTCCTTACTTGATTGCACTAATTAGAAAGTCCAGTACAATAATGATAGAATTGAGAAAGCAGATATTATTGCCTCATTGCCAGTTTTTAGGATAGGGCAGTCTTTCAACATTAAATATATTAGTTATGGGTTTTCCATAAATGCTCTTTATCAAGTTGAGGAAGTTTCTTTGTATTCCAAGTTTGCCATGAGGTGTGTGTGTGTGCGTTTGTGTGTGTGTGTGTGTGTGTTTAATCAAGAATTGATGTTACATTGATTGATTTCTAATTGTTAAACCAATATCTTATTAAAAAGCATACTTGGGGCCGGGCGCGGTGGCTCACGCCTGTAATCCCAGCACTTTGGGAGGCCGAGGCGGGCAGATCATGAGGGCAAGAGATCGAGACCATCCTGGCTAACACGGTAAAACTCCGTCTCTACTAAAAATGCAAAAAAAAAAAAAAAAAAAATTAGCCGGGCGTGGTGGCAGGCGCCTGTAGTCCCAGCTACTTGGGAGGCTGAGGCAAGATAATGGCGTGAACCTGAGAGGCGGAGCTTGCAGTGAGTCGAGATCGCGCCACTGCACTCCAGCCTGGGCAACAGAGGGAGACTCCGTCTCAAAAAAAAAAAAACAAAAAAACAAGAAAAAGAAAAAAGAAAAAAAAAGCATACTTGGTTATGATGTAGTATCATTTTTATATATTGTTAGATTTGCTAAAATTTTATGTAACATTTTATTTTTATTTTTAGAGAGGGGGCTCTTTCACCCAAGCTAGAATGCAGTGGGGTGATCACAGCTCACTGCAGCCTACAAATCCTGAGCTCAAGCAATCCTCCCACTTCAGCCTCCCAAATAACTAGGACTACAGGCACTTGCCACCATGCCAGGCTAAATTTTTACATTTTTTGTAGACACAGAGTCTCTTCATGATGCCCAGAATAGTCTCAAACTCCTGGCCTCAAGCAATCATCTCTCCTCAACTTCCCAAATTGTTGGCATTATAAGCGTGCACCAGGCCTGCATTCATATTTATAGGATATATTGGTCTGTACTTTTCTTCGTTTGTAACGACTTTTTATAACTTTGATATCAGAGTAACGCTGATATCATACAATAAATTATAAAGTATTCCCTCTTCTTCAATATTCTGGAAAAGTTTGTGTTGAACTGGTATTATTTCCTCCTAAATGTTGCATAGATTTCACCAATAAATACATCTGGCCCTGAAGTTAGATTTCTTCATTTGCCCATAAGGTAATAGAATTTTATTTAGTCTTCCAATATTTGGGGTTTTCTAAGCATCTTCTATTATTAATTTTTAATATAAATCCATTTTGGTCACAGAATATACTTTGAATAACTTGAACTCCTTTAAACTTATTACAACTGGTTTATAGCCCAAAATGTGGTCAATCTGAAGTGTATTCATTAAAAAGTAACATATATTTTATCCTTGTTGAATACAATGTTCTGTGAAGGTCAATAAGGTCAAGTTGCATAATAGTGTTGCTCAAATCTTTATGTTTACTAATGTTCTATTTACTTGTTTCAGCCATTATTGAAAGGTGCTATTTGAACTTCTTAGTGTAAGTTTGGATTTGTCTGTTTCTCCTGAAAGTTCTGTTTTAATTGCATGTATTTTGAAGTTCTGTTATTAGGTACATAAACATTTAGAATTTTTATGTCCTGTTAACAAACTGACCTTTTATCAGGGACATTTTTTTCTCTGTTAATATTTTTTCCTCTAAGATATCTTTTCCTGATCTTACAGGCATGCTAGCTTTCCTTTGATTGGTGTTGGCATGGCATTTGTTCCATCCTTTAATTTTTAATATATTTGACTCTATATTTAAAGTGCATTACTTGTAGCCAGTATAGGCTTGGACTTGTTTATTTTTTTAATCAAATCTGACCATCTCCAAATTCGTTGGAATATTTAGACATTTTCTATTTAATTGATTTATTGGTATTGTTAGGTTTTATTCTATAAGCACACAGTTGTTTCTATTTGTCCCAGCTGTACTTTGTACAGGTTTTTATGTCCTCTTTGGAAAGAAATTGAAAATATTTTATAATTCTGTTTTATCTCCTTTCATAGCTTATTTGCTATAAATCTTTGTTATGTATGTAGTTGCTTTAGCATTTATATATGCATCTTTAACGTTTCAGTCTACTTTCAAGTGATATACCATTTTACATATAACAACTTTACTATAATGTACTTCCATGTCTCCTTTCCACATGTCCATGTTGTTACTGGGATACATTTTACTTTTAAATGTATTTTTAAAAATCCCATATTACATTTTCTTTTTTGCCTGTTTGTTTAAACAGTATATTACCTCTGAAGGCCTTACGCTGGGGCAATCAGAGCTTACCTGATGTGTTTCGTGTCTTGTAGTGACCACTGTCCTTTGTTGTTTCATTTACCTTTTCTTACAAACCACTGAATAGTTATTTTCATTGACTTTTTGGTTGCTTCGGATGAAAGAGCGAAAAGGCTCTCTGTTACTCCGTTCTAGCCAGAAGCTGAGTGGCTGAGGCAATTTTATTCAGCCACAGAGGTTTGGAACCATTGTAATTCAGAGCCATTATTTTTCTCTATGCAACTTCCCCTGCTGATCTTAGCTTTATCTCCTGATACTATATGCAAGGACCTAATCTGTCTTCTGTGTACTAACCTTTAATTTTTAAAATAATATATGTTAGGTCTCAGCTTTTAGATCTTCTACATTTCTCACTTGTATAATTGCTTACATTGGTCCTAGTTTGAAAGTGTTCAAGGTGATCATCTGCATTATATCCTACTTTATAGTAGACTCTTTGGTTATATTCCTCATCTGAAAGATGTATATTTTAGCTGCTGTGCATCTGATATTGTACCAATTTTTGGTATACATTTATTTAAACAATTTTCATAATAATTCTTCAGGTGATTGTTCTGTCTTCCTTTTAGGAATGTACTTTACCTAGTGACATGTAATGGATAATCTAAATGTACATCATTAAAAGAAAATTTCAGTAAATTATAATTTAGCCATATAATGAAATAGTATGCAGGTATTTAAACTGATGACAAAGATTTATTTTTATTGTCAAGCAAAAATATTTACTACCTTTAGTCAAAAATCAATTTGGAGAGCAGAATTTTATGTATACTAAGAGCAAGCAGTATATTTGTTTGATGTAGGTTGTGTTATCTGAGAGAAATAGATGGACATATAACAGTGCTGAACTGCTATCTCTGTATGTGTACCTACACAAATAAGTATCTGAATGATACGCAATATGCATAAAGTTTTACTACAGTTTTTAATCTCTTATTTGATTTTTTAAATCAAACAACAAATAAGAGATTAAAAACTAGTCTTATTTACTATTAATACTTAGTAAATATATTCTATATAACATAATATATATTATACAAATACTTAATAGTAAATATATTATGTATAATATAATATATATTATATATATGCATGTGTGTATATCTGTGTGAAAGTGTGGTTACATAAATACCTATCAATTATATCGACAGGGAAAAACAAATATTGATGCCATTTTTAAGCTGTAATTAAAAGTAAAAACATAAACACTTTCCAGCTTATAACTTAATTCATATTTTAATTTATATTATTAAAATGCCTTTAGTAATAATGGCACCAATAAATTCAAAATTCTATAAGAAAAAATGAGTTTAACTATACTTCTGGCTTTTATCTACTCAGTTCAGCCATATTTTATCTTCAGTATTACAATATAAACCTCAGAGGGTTAGATGATACGGGTTAAGTTTCAATTGCACAGCTGAATATTTTGGGGCTTATCCAACCTGAGCCTTTCAAGACTCATTGAGTATTGGTGTAAGTTGACCCTGTGGCTTGATCGTCTTCCTTCTCAGCAGTATTCAAAGCTAGACTCATGTAGGCAGAATATGAAGGATATCTAGCCAAGTTTTAGGTTTTTACATTTGTTTTGTGTGCCTATTTTAAGTGTTTAAATACTATCTATTTTTATTATAGAAATCACACAAATGTAAGAAATGAATTTAAAAAACAAATTTGGAAAATACATGAAGTTATAAAGCAAATAAATATTATATATAGGCTTACCATCAGAGATAATTATTGTAAAAATTTTTATTTACCTCAGACAGCAAAACTTTGATATTCTTTTTGCTTTTAATCTGCCTTCTTTATTTACTACCTTGTGATATATTTAACCACCATAAAGCACTTGTCTCACCATAAATACATATAGAAGTGGACAACATTTCAGTTTCTTCATCTCCAAAAAGAATATAGGCATAGAAACTAAATGATAAGATGATGGTAAGAATTAAATGCCTGCAAATAGAATTATAAGTTTCAAGAACATAATAAATAAGGTATTAATGCTAGCTACTATTGTTAACCAATATACTGGAATATACTAAGATCTTTCCCACCTCAATCTCTTAGTACATTATTCTTCACATAATTTGGTCTCTCTTATAACTCAAGGGGCTCAATAACACTACTTGAATGAATGAATGAATGTGTGGATTATCATTATTCATTTTCTTAGTAGTAATATAGTAATAATATTAGCATTAGGGTTTATTAATTCAATACTCAAGAATTTTCACGATTTCTTTCTAGATACTTGAAGTCCTCTTATGAAGCATTACTGTTTTCTCAAAAATCTGCCATTAGCATTGGAAGGAATTGTAACTGAGCCCCCATCTTGCCTGTGGTAAAACTCATTTACATCATTTTCCAAAAGACAATTAATGATGAACAGAAAAATATTACATTCAGAAGAATCTGTTTCAAAAGGCTTTAGGCAGGACTTTCAAATCTGAAAACAATTCTCAGACAACATTTTAAAGGGAAAACACTAAACTGTTCATTGCAACACTGCACTACTGACTTTTGCAGACCTTCAACTGATTCAACAACTGGTATTTGACCCAGATATCTTTGTATGATTTGTCTTTACAAAGGCCATAAGTAAGAAAATTCACTATAAAAATGGATCTGCAAGTAATTGTGTTAACTTCTAAAGAATTTGTTGCGGCAATTTATTTAACTTATTTATTTATTTTATACCTGCCTTATTCAAGCAAATATTTCAAGCAACTTCAAGATATAAGCAGAAATGTAGCACAGGATGAAAATACCAGGTGTGAAATACGGAAATCGGAAAAGCACAACAGTGTGGTGGAAGGAGCACTAGATTAAGTACTAATTCTGCTGCCACATCGTTGTTTAATGTTTGAAGAGTCACTTTCACTCCTGGCCCTCTGGTTTTATACATTTTATTTTATTTTATCTTATTTTATTTTATTTTTTATTTTTTTTGAGACGGAGTTTTGCTCTTGTTTCCCAGGCTGGAGTGCAATGGCAAGATCTCAGCTCACTGCAACCTCTGCCTCCCAGGTTCCAGTGATTCTCCTACCTCAGCCTCCCAAGTAGCTGGGTTTACAGGCGCCTGCCACCACACCCGGCTAATTTTTGTATTTTTAGTAGAGACGGGGTTTCACCTTGTTGGCCAGGCTGATCCAGAACTCTTGACCTCAGGTGACCCACCCACTTCGGCCTCCCAAAGTGCTGGGATTATAGGCATGAGCTACCACATCCAGCCTGGCTCTATACATTTTAAAAGGCAGTACTAGGTAGTATAACCTTAGTTGCAACTAACAGTAAAGCTCACTGAAATTAAACAATGTGGGAAATGTAGCTGTTCATATACTTGTAAGTTTCAGACACAGTGTAGCTCCAGGTGAAGTTTTCCAAACAGCTCAGCAATGGCATGAAACAACAGTTTCCTTACTTACCTTACTTATTTCCATAGACTCAGTATCATTTTCTGGTTGCGTGTCTTCACTGGCCCTTAACAGCAAAGGCATTTTTAAACTTCTTTTATTCACACTACATCGTTTAGAATGGAAAGTTTTCCTTTGGATTCTAGACAATTTCTTTGAAATTAGACAATGATTCTAACTGTATTTTTATGGTTAATTGCTTGTCTTGTAGTAAATTAAAGCTAGTCACAGATACTCTGACATTGCTCCTATTGAAAAATGGGGTACCTGTCCTCTCCTCTTGAATCACAAGTAGGAGCTTTGCAACTCCCTTGACCAACAGAATATCCCACAAATGATACTGAGCCAATTTCTTGTCCCCAAAATGAAGATACTGACTGTTTTTATTTCTCATCATTTGGAACAGTCACTCTTGAAACCCAGCTGCCATGCTATGAGTAAGTCCAATTAGCAAAAGTCCCTGATAGAGAGGATTTGAGGCCTGCTGACAGCCTTGACTGAGATTTCAGCCAACACCCAATATCAATTTTGCTAACCGGGTAAGTGAACCATGCTGGAATTGGATCCTTCAGCCCTATCTGAAATGCTTTAGCTGATGCCGTGTGGAACAATGAAAGCCATTCCTTATGAACTTTACTCAAATTGAAGACATGTGAGTAAAATAACTTATGGCTGTTGCTGTAAGCCACTGGGTTTCGGACTGGCTTGTTTTGTAACAAAAGTTCACAAGAAAACCACTCCATCATTAGGACAGATTCAATATTTATTTTTTCCTAATTGTGTATGCTTCTTCCTGATGTGTGATGTAGTAACTTCCCTGAGTAGTGGTGAAATAACATTTTCATCGTTGGCTTCAAAATTTATTGGCATAATGTTTCAAAACATTAGCTTGTTTTATTTTTGATGAAAGAAACCAAGAGATTTATTTTCATGTTCACTGTGTTTGCTTCAAAATGACATTGTACCTTGTCAGGTATCACAGATCTATTGTTCAAATGTGTAGCATGAATCACATTGAAGATTGTATAATTTTTATCAACAGGAAAGTTAAGCTTTAATGGCATGTAATCAGGGTTGCCCCTAGAGTATTCAAGACCCTGGACAAGAACTTTTTGTGGTGTTCCTATCTACATATACAGTTTAAGCCACATAAGTTAACCTTGTCAGAACCATACTGGTGACTCAGTCTTAACATGGTTCCGTCAGAGTGGTACCGTACTACAATTGAGACCTGACTGCAAGGTCTTTGGACAGCCCCAGAGGAATGAATGTGTCCCAGAGCTACCAGGGTAGCTGGCCAACTTTACACACGAGACAAAGGGTTGAAGAGCTCCCCAGGGCCCATGTGGCTCCTAGTCCAAATATAAGGTACCCTATCCAGAAAGTACCACTAGCCTGGCCCTGTCCCAGACACTGAAGGGGAAGGAATTTAGAATACTTCAAAGAAGGTATTCTGAAACATGAAGCCCCCAGAGGCATAGGATCCAAGACAGAAGTCCTGCTTGCCTAGGTCTAAGGGCAGAACTGCATAAAATCTACAGAGCACACATGCTTGCTTTGAGAGACTGTGCAGAAATATGGGATTTATTGTGTTCTTTCATTTTATACAGATTATGTTCTATCAGCACTCGTTGAAGAATTAACAGGTCTTCGTAGTGTCACTTTATACAAATCTTAATTGACCTTACCCCCTCATTATTTTTTAAATCTTGTTCAAGGAAAATTATTTTATTTACCTCGGTGAAATATCCTCTTTTAAAGTAATTCATTGCACATATATTTAAACTTTAAAAATATTTATATAAATATTTGTAGATAATACATATTTAGATAAGAAGCTTCTAAGGCCAGGCGCGGTGACGCATGCTTGTAATCCCAGCACTGTGGGAGGCTGAGACAGGAGAATCACGAGGTCAGGAGTTTGAGACCAGCATGGCCAGATGGTGAAACCCAGTCTCTACTAAAAATACAAAAATTATCCGGGCATGGTGGCACGCACCTGTAATCCCAGCTACGTGGGAGGCTGAGGCAGGAGAATTGCTTAAACCCGGGAGGCAGAGCTTGCAGTGAGACAAGATCTTGCCACTGCACTCCAGCCTGGGCAACAGAGCGAGACTCTGTCACACACACACACACACACACACACACACACACACACACACACACACAAAAGCATGTAAAGCATCTAAATAAAAAGCCCCAAACGTTCTATAATATCACCTTATCACAACACAACGCAGCCTTGTTATTGTACAACCCACACTGATGAGTATTCTATTCATCAAAGTGCAGTGGCAGATATGCATTAATCTTGCCTGGCATCAACTGAGCCTGGAACCAAAGCCTGGAGTCATGTCCCCATTTGTATAGGTTACGACACAGATTCTCGTTCTAGATTTTTAAAAAATCAGTACAGTGCTCATCTTTGACCATGTACAAATTATTTAAAAGTGTGAGAGTTGTGAAAGCACATTCAGGGATTATTTTAACAGAAGAAAACATTCTAGAATAATTAATTCATGTTTATTATTCAAATATATTAATATTTGTTAAATGTATATGAGGGAAAATGTTCATTAACATTAAAAATAATGACAAATATATTTTTAAAAAGTGGTAAATTAAAAAAAGATAAATTCTAACTAATTTGCAGATTGATGTACCTTCCTACACACTTCATAACATGAATTATTCTGCAAAACATTGTATATCAGATCCTATCTCTCTATGATGTCTATTTTTCTCCCTTTGATATATGGAAGGGCACTGGCATGAACAATTCACTGCTTAGCCTAATGTTTTCACTTGCTGTTCGTGAAGAGGGAGCACTAATAGCACCACAAAATATTCAGAGAGAAAACTCTGCAAACTATAAAAATAGTTATAATGTCAAGAGTCCTAATTTCTTTTCTAAGTTTCATTACAAATATTGATGAACATTCTCAATTCTAGAAATATTTGTACCTGAGTAAAATGTTGACTTCAATAGCATTCTGATTGTGATTTACAGCAGTTAATACAAATTATCCTATTTAGATGTTTAAGAGGCTTTTCTCATTTCCTTCATCAGGTTCAATCATAAATGGCTTAATCATTCAGAAGACATTACTGAATTAGATTGCATTAACCGCATAATAACAGAAAAAAAGAGCAATATGGAAACCAGCCGAAATGCTATTAGGAAGGAACTAAGTTCATTCCCTGTAATGCCTTTGTTGATTTGTTGAAATTGTTGATGTGACCTCAATCACAATTTCTGTTCTACTTTGTTCATCAGTTTCTTTTCACTTTAGTAAACATGCATTTATATTTTTGAAACAGAAATCTAAATGTTATACACATGGACAGGGTTTCTAGACTACTATATGAGTTTAGAACTTAGGGCAGGTTCAAATATTAATATAAAGAATCATAAAACAAATATGAGGTTATACACTAGGCATAGAAATTTTATCATTGTCTTCCTACAAGCCATACATAAGAAGGTGCTATTTTATAATAAAAGGAATAACCAATTGATAAACATTAATGAGATACAGGAAGTGAAAATCTACAAGGATGGTTAAGATTAGACAAAAGACAAAATATTCATTATCATTTATTTGAAAGTTTTTGCAAGAAAGAATGATGGGCAAGTGCTAGACTGTACTGTATATGTCCAGAGTTTTAAAGCAGAATATAAACTTTAAAAATCACCGATTCAGTTGCTTATTCCTTATACATGTGTCTTCAATCCTTAAGTGACTTACTCAAAATCACTTGTTTCTAGTAGAGTCAAACCCATCATCTCAGTAGACTTTGCTGGAACCAATGTTATTTGCACCTCTCTTTGCTTCTCTTTCCTTCTAAAATGAATGAATGCCTTACACTTAAATCATTTTTATCTTATCTGAAGTTATTTTAACATCTATTATTTGATGCTTACAGGTAACCCCATGACTCTCATTTCCCTCAGCTTATTCTCCAATATCAATTCATACTATGTCCCCTCTCCACTAAAATCCTTCATCTAAGCTAAATTCTGTAATTTCTCATACTCATCATAGTCTCTCTCATCTCTCTTGTCTCCATAGAAGGTTTTTGCAAATGTTTCTCCTGCTTGGGAAACCTGTTTCCTTCCTTTTGGCTCATTCACCTTTTAGACTTTTAGTATCTTAAAAACAAAGGAGTAGAATTTTTCTTGATCAAATTGCTTCCCATTCTGGGGTTAGAAAAATCTGAAGTGTGCTGTGGATCCCTTAGTTTGAGAAATTTTATAGCTATTGGCACAGGCCTGCCTTTTGTCTTTCACCTTTTAATATATTATTAATGAGTAATGACAGCAGAATATCAACCAATAAAAAAGTACATGATTATAGATTATGATGAGTACCATGAATGTAACAAACAAGTTGGTGGGTCAGAACGAACTAGGAAGTCATTGTATTTGCACAGGCAAAAAAGGCATCACTAAGGATATGAAATTTGAGTTGAGATCTAAATTTTGTGAACTATCCAGCCATGGAAAGGACTAAAGGAAGAGCATTTTAGAGGAAGGGAGAAACAAGGGCACAAGCCCTTAGGAGAAAAGGAACTTGATAAATTTGAAATGCAGAAAGACATCCAGAGAGGCTGTAAGACAGTGCATGGGACAGTAGTAGATGGCAGGTTTGGTAAAGTAAGGGGGTATCACATCACACAGGTCATTAGGCAGGGTGAAGAACGGTCATTTTGTTGTGAGCACCAAGTGATGTGAGTGATATATTTTAAATTGCAGGGGAACAATCTGCTTTACATTCTTTTCTTATTCAAATGAAGAAATAGATTAGAAATTTAATGATTAATAGGCTTGGATGGAGACAAAGAGTAACAGTAAAATGTGTAACACATATTGAAAGCTTATCATATGCTAGGGATTTTAGCAAATTGCATAATTTAGAATCCCTACAGGGTCTTATGAGGCAGATATTATCATTTACTTTTAGCAAATGGAGAAATGACTCTCAGAGATGTGAAGTAACATTCCCAAGATCACACATGACTTCAGCTGAATGGAGTCATGTCAGGATTTGACTTAGATTTCAAGGACTTCATACTTCTCATTATACCATACAGTTTCCATGGATCAAAGATCTCTACTGTTAAGGTATTCATTTTGTTTCTCCACCAGAAAATATTCTTGGATTATTTAAAAGATATGATAGAAAATTATGCAGAAAATTGGCAGAACTAATGCTATTTATGATGAGTTCTCTTACCGTAGAAACATAAATTCTGGCCTATGATTTCAACTACTGTATTACAGTTATTAACCTATTAAAATAGGCCTGCTTTATGTACATAATACTTGTCTAGTAGCATTATCACATTTTATTACGAATGTTACCATGACATAATAAACTGTATCAAGTAAAACCTGCAAATGAAGAGAGACAAAGCCTGACTTAGTTCCCTTTGGAATAAAGTAGACTGTCTTACTTCATTGGATTTTTGTTTTTTCTATATAAAAGAGTAGTTTACTGGGAAAGGGGCAGAAAAAAAAACTATGTAATTTAATAATCGAGAAGATTTTCCTCAATATATTTACACTAATATTACCTCATTGCTTCCTCTAGTCCTGCATTGAATGTTACTCCATGGAAAACAACGTTTCTCCATTTTCTCTTGCACGTCCTCCCCTAATTTTATGATCTTTACTTCTTCCCTTCATTCCCTTATTCCTCTTTTCCTCCATTTTTCCCTTTCTCTTTTCCTTCTCCATTTCTCCTTAGTTCTTTCCTTCCCATACATCTTAAATTTGAGCTTCTTAAGATCAAGGACTTTTATCCAATTGTGCAACATGCAATGCCTAGCATAGTGCAAAAAATAGGAATTCAATAACTGCTTGTTCATGGCTTTGGGAAAAACATTATCTTCTTGTTCAACATAAACCTTTTCCTTCTAATGTCTCCACAGACCAGCGCAAATACTGACATTTTCTGCTTCTTCTGCTACTTCCTTCTACATATTCCAGGATCTCTTCAATCTGTGCATCATTCTATACCATGTCATTATGATATACATTCGCACACTTAGCACTGCCTGACTAAGCTTTTCCTCCTCTTCTTCACTGTCTCTTTTTCTCTTTCCCTTTCCTTTTATCTTATAAGCTCTAATACCTCTCTTTATGGGTAATAAAGATGGAAGAAAAATTCTCCATCCTATATTTTGTAATTTGAAAATTTAGGTTGTCATAGCAATGTGATAAAATTTTTAAAATAGAAAAGATTTTCCTTATCCACAGCAGAATTTTTTCTGTTTACACATACATAGAAGTATTTAAATGGAAAAATTTTATGAAAAATCAGTTTGTATGCAGAACTTTAAAAATCCACAGTACACATAAAGAAAAGGAACTTAAAATACCAAAGTTCAAAATTTAATTAAAGAAAGTTAAATTCAGCTGTTTGTATTTTAACAACTAATAGTCAATATGTTTTTTATTCAGTCATTTATTTAAATCTAGCATTATTGTATATATGAATTGGATTCAGGAGCATCATAGAAACAGACTTTGAAGTAAATTAGGCTTTAAATCCAATTGTTTAATTCTCTCAAATAACAGATTTAAAAAAACTGTTACTTCAGGAAATTGTATAACTTCCATTATTTTATTTTCAGACATAGTGCCATCCTACAAGAATCTCCACGTCAGCCACTGTACTTGTTGATTTATATTATCTCAAATTTTTAAAATCCCCCAAAGTAAGAACATTTTTCCCTAATATGTTAGGCAACTGAGGCCCAGAGGAAATGAGACATTTGAAAAATGTCTTTCCACTAGGACTTGATGGAGCTGGATTCAAAACCAGCAAATGTGTCACAGTCTGAATGTCTCCAAAGTTACCACTCTTCCCATTACTCTGCCTCTCCAAAGAGATCAATTTGTAATGTTTGTGGTGAGAAAACAACTTATTTTAGAAGAATACACTAACTGTGTAGTGCAGAAATAAATCCGTAGACGAATTAAACCTGGTTAGATTAATAAATCCTGGAGCCACTAGGAAGACTTTCCCAGGGAACAAATTTTGGAACAGATATTAAGTAGATTTTTTTCTTGTTATTTCCGATTTTGATGGACACAATTGTAAGACAGACCTTCACCTGATAGCTGGTGCACTTTGCTTTGAGGAGCATCTTTAAATGTCTTCAAAAAATTATTATTTTTACAAAACACCTCTAATCAATATTTACTTGGTAAATTACACACTTTCTTATCTTGGTGGCGCTAGTGAGTAATTCAATTGGCATCCAGTCTCCACAGTTTTGCCACTAGCTGAGATCCAAGACTTTGTATCTGCTAAGACACCTGGTAAGGTTAATTCTGATTCTGTAATTGAACTAAATAGTCTATGCCACTGTAGTAAGAAAAGACCTTTGAAACAGCTCACACTTATCATGATTCAATTCAACACATAATTTACTTCCAAAAAGCCCTCCTGCTAAATTTAGTATAGCCTAACTACTACGTGATATTTTCCAGAAATGTGGATTCAAGATAAAGTGTTTAGTTTCTTAGGGCTGATGCACCTGTATCTCTGTACTCAAAAGTGTTTGATTCTCTAGGATTTGTTTCCTCTTCTTCATTTCATCTAACCCAGGTTTAGTTTATACTCTCAATAGCTCTTACTTAGACAATTGAATTTATTACCTAAATTATCTCTCTTTCTTCAATCACTAAGTGTCAATGTAACTCTTTCTACAACAGTCAATGATAATTTTTCTAAAACATAAGAAACATGTGCAAAAAAAAGAACTGTTGCCATGGTCAACAAATCAAAGTTAAAAATTGACTTCCAGACTTCACTTTCTAGTAAAACGATGAACTAGGTACAAAGGTAGACTCTCTTTCTTGCTTGCTTTCATTTTTTTTTTTTTTTAAGTCGGAGATTCACTCTTGTTGCCCAGGCTGGAGTGCAGCAGCATGATCTCGGCTTACTGCAACCTCCACCTCCGAAGTTCAAGTGCTTCTCCTGTCTCAGCCTCCCAAGTAGCTGGGATTACAGGGGCATGCCACCATACCCGGCTAATTTTTGTTTTTTTAGTAGAGACGGGGTTTCATCATATTGGTCAGGCTGGTCTTGAACTCCTGATGTCAGGTGATCAGCCTGTCTCGGCCTCCCAAAGTGCCGGGATTACAGGTATCAGCCACCGCACCCAGCCAACTCTCTTTCTTTGAAAACAACTAAAATTCCTGGGAAAAATATTTTAAATATTTTTCATTTCAAATCTATCAATGAACTAAGAAAGTAAGGCATGCTGATGCTATAACTAAACAAAGATATAAACCCACATAGATAAGCAGGACATAAAAGCATATTTACTATTGAAAGCATTTGCTGAATCAGGTTAAATAACCTGAAAGTAACAGAAGGCAACAGACAAAATTCAAGATATAGCCAAAATAGAAACTCCAGGAGGAAACCACCATTCAGGAGATCAGTAATCTAAATATGAACCAGAAATAAATCATCACTACTTTCTCACTCCTCCCACAAGGGACACAAGGAACATGGCCTATTTAGGAATTTAACATTGAGAATTAGGAAGAAGAAATGATCTCCTTATAATTTCCTTGACAT
This sequence comes from Homo sapiens, assembly GCF_000001405.40. Classification (NCBI taxonomy): domain Eukaryota; kingdom Metazoa; phylum Chordata; class Mammalia; order Primates; family Hominidae; genus Homo; species Homo sapiens. The sequence goes on along the minus strand of NC_000002.12, from coordinate 51,334,518 downwards.
ATGTGGCCACAGCCTAAAGCTCAAACAAGTAGTTACTTCATTAGCTTCTTAATTTCAATATTTTAGCAAATGTATTAAAGGTTATTGTATCTTTTCATTGCAATCAACAACATATTTTAACATTTAAATTAAACAACTAGTCACATAAATTAAGTAGTGGACATCTATTGATTAGCTTAATTATTTTTCATTTTCCATTATTTTGGCCTTACCACTGGTTTATTTATTTATTTATTTTAAAAAATAATTTCTCTCCTATTTGTAATCCCTGTGTTTAGAATGTGACTTCTTTTATGTAACCAATCACTCCTATCCCAACTGCAGTTCCAGATCTGGGTAGTCAGAAAATTCATCAATAAGCCTTTTAAATGTGTCAGAACTTAAATGGATAGTCTTTCAGATAGAAGTAAAAGAGAAAGAGAGAGAAACAGAGACAAATTTTGCTGCTAGATAAAGAAATATTCTCTTACTCTAATTTTTATTTGTTAAATGTCAAAAATAAAGCCACAATTACTTAAAAATGTATTCTTGGTTTTATTGCAAGTACCCAAAAAGATAGGAAGTCCTGATATTTTTCCCCTGGGAGTGAGAAAGGGGAAAGATCAAGACAGTCTAAGACTAAGATTTGATATTCTTCCTATTTATATATTTCAAGGTTATGTGGTAATGTCTCTGATAATATTCCAGCTAAAATCTGGTTTTATTCTAAGCCAGTTGATTGGTTGGCAATAACAACTTGTTCAGATAAAAGATAAAAAGTGGTCTATAAAATTTTCTGTAACTATGGCTATAGCTCAATTTATAGTCTATGTTTCCACAGCATCACAGCTGTGGAATCCTAACACAACTGTAGCCTTAACTTTCTCTAGGAATGATCTTACATCCATGGATGTGACTGTCTGAGCAAGTGGAAGAAGCCATGGTATAACACAGATTAAATTATCTCAGTGATGATGGTAATCATTTCCAAAAGAAGGTAGTGGTCCTCTTCCCTGAACTGTAAGGTAAATATACGTTTCTTTTCTTTTCTTCTTTAAGCGAAGCAGCTTGGGACCACAGGTGCATGCCACCATGCCCTGCTAATGTTATTATTTTTGTATTTTTTGTGGTGACAGAATCGCTCTGTGTTGTCCACACTAGTCTCAAACTCCTGGCCTCAAGCTATCCTTCCAGCTCATTCTCCCAAAGTGCTGGCATTACAGGTGTGTGCCACTGCACCCAGCCCTGTACTCTTAATATTGTTTCCCTTCTTAATGCACTGATTGGTATTTTCATCCTTTAATTAATTTTAGAAAACTGGTGCCTATTGGAGTACTTGGAATATGTTTTGACTGTGTCAATTGCAAAAACTCTTCCAATTTAGGCTTACCATTACTATAAATAATCAACACAGGTTTCACTTGTAGAATTTTCATTATGTGAAAAACGTTGTGATAAGCGATTTAAATATTCGCATAGGCATCCCCAAATCCTATGAGGTAAACCCCACAATCATCATAACTTTATTTTTTCCTATGTACTTGATACACGACGTTTACATAGTGAATGAGCAATATATAGAAAATAGTGATGTAAAAACTTTACTCCGCAAGTTCATGAACTCCTTAACTTCTTTCAACAGAACTGTGATTTCATGCACTCCAAGTTGAGAACCCCTGCAGGATCCTGAGTTGACTAAATCCTAATCAGTACGGCAGTCAAAGATTCCGTAGTGCCTGGCCATTGTATGGAAAGATCAGTCTTCTCAAGGTTATTAAAATCTCCCATAATATATTCACTGTGTACTTACATGAATACAATGATGTCAACTAAAATACAATTTATTTCAAATTTTTAATTTTGTGTTGTCTATTAAGTATGCTTACATTTTTATGTCAACATGGTTTCACTTTTTATGTTAGAAAATGCTAAGCAATAAATGCTACAGCTGAATGTTGAAAGGTATTAGTGTTGCTTGAAGCTCACCAAATAAACACCCAGATACTCCACGGGTATAGCCCAGTCCTGACCTTCAGTGGATAGGAAACTATTCAGTGAAATGTAATGCACAGTACTGGATTATGGTCAGTGGAATTTTTCAAAATAAATTATCCATATCTGTATTACTTGATTCGGCTTGACTCCTCTTTTAACTAAAGTATGTTTTAACTGTTTTTTTTCTTTTTTCTTTTTTTTTTTTTTGAGACAGAGACTCCCTCTGTCGCACAGGCTGGAATGGAGTGCAGTGGCACGATCGCGGCTCACTGCAAGCTCCGCCTCCGGGGTTCACACCATTCTCCTGCCTCAGCCTCCCAAGTAGCTGGGACTACAGGAGCCCGCCACTACACCCGGCTAATTTTTTGTATTTTTAGTGGAGACGGGGTTTCACCGGGTTAGCCAGGATGGTCTCGATCTCCCGACCTCGTCATCTGCCCGCCTCAGCCTCCCAAAGTGCTGGGATTACAGGCGTGAGCCACCACGCCCGGCCCAACTATTTTTTATTAATTACTGGCAAACTCCTATTTTCCAGCCACTTCTGTTATTCTTATAAAACACTTTTACACTATTTACAAATGTGCATTAATACAAAATTATTGGTTTATGCGATTTCTCAAAAAAATTTCATCATGTACCTCAAAGCTTAAGGTAGTTGGAGGTTCAAGTTCCAATTAGAACTTAGTGCAAATCCCTTCTGCAGATACAAGTATAGTAAAATAATTATTGCCTGGGAATTTCAGAAACCTTTTATAGCTCCTGCTATTGTCTTCTTGCCAAAATGAACTATCTGCTCATTTATTCTAAATTAGAATTGTGCAGTTAACAAAGATCAAGAAGATTAAAAACATGGTGTGAAGCCAGTTTAGCATAACATTTAGTATTTCCTTTTGTAAGTACTGCTCTCCTGTGCTTAGTTAAGTATTATTTAAGATACTATTGGATCTTTATAGAATGTTCCCATGATTAAAATTTAATTTTGACACTACAACATGTACAAAGTTCTGTCAAGTATTATTAATGATTAAACAATGAGGAAATATGTTATTACAGTGTGTTCAATCTTTAATGTCCATTAAATCCACTTGGTAAGTGTAAGTGGAAATGATACTAACTACAATTCTCATTCTCTAGTCCTTTACACATTATAAAGAAATGAGGATCTTACAATACCAATCAATAAGTGATGAAAAGAAACTGTGCGTGGTGGCTGAAATTTGAATGGGCCTTTCACAGAAATCTTATTATTCTCCTACTAGGGACAGTGCAGAACAGACATTCCACTTCCCGCTTTGTAAGCAAATGCCTAGGCGTGTAGCACTGTGATTATATTTCTATCTTCGGCCTTAGATCATCTTCAGCATCAGAGAGTTCTGAAAATCCCATTAAGAAGTCATTTCAAGGAAACATAAATGTTCTTTGAAATAATCTTCAATGCTTTTCTAATTTTTTATATTAATGTCTCCTGCAACCCTCTTCCCAGAATGGGTAATAAATCCTCTTATATTTATGCACAGAGAGATATGTATATACAGTTTATTTACTTCCTGTTTTAATTGCTGTCCTAACTAAATACAACACATGTAATGCAAATGTTTGCCAAACTTTGTATGGGTTGTACTTAACATGTATAACACTGGCATTTTAGCTGAACTGATCGTGACAAAGCATTCCTGAATAAAAATTACTTTTTTAGAAAGGAAACAGTTCTGTTGCAAAATCAAGTTTTTACTTTTTCTTATGGTTTTGTAGCCTAACGAAAAATGAATACATGATGAAATGTATCCCAATTTCCTTCCACTTTTAATTGATCTTCATAGGCTTGAGGGAATTTGTCTTTATATTCATCTCCCAGGGAGAATTTCCACCAAATTATTTGAGTGAGTTATCATCATTCAACTTTGCCTGGCTAAAAGCCCTAAAATAGGGACAAAAATTACATTAAATATCTCATTTTCTATTTTAGGGTGCTGTGAATCAGCAGAAGGTTCAAGCTAACATACTGATTGTAAGCATAATGTAGGCAACAGATAGTGAAGGCCTTTATTATCTTCTGATAAGTTTGTTTTGAGAATCATTTTTCTCTTATATGCTTATTTTTGTTTCAATTGTGGAGACCCATGATTTACAACCATAATCTTCCCAACTAAATTTCAAATTATTGCATGTCAAAAAGTATTGGCATTTGACCATTTATTAAATTAGTCCTGATAGTCTGACATGATTAAAAGCACAATCATTCTACTCAAATTACAAGAAGTCTCAATCATTTGAGGTTCCTGCCCTCTCCTAATAATACTCTTTCTTCTGATAACAGATTCACTCAACATGCCCACTTTCCCCATGCTCCAGGAAAATAAAATAGAGTACTACCAGGGCTATCCAACAGGGTCCTTCCTGCTCCCTGGCCATAGATGATCAAGGAGAGGCAACTGCCCTGGGCTAGTTGGAAATTCCTTCCAAGGAATTTAGAAGTGAGAAAGAGAAAGACTGTAATTCCATCAGGACTGTTTGTTTGGACTTAGGTGGATGCAAACCTGAGAAGTGAAGGTGGAGAGTAGCTGCTTTATATATGGAAAAATAGAAAAAGCCAGTCTATGGAGAGAAGGAATAGCTGTACAGAGAAGGCAGAGAAGACAGAGCAAGAGCATGAGACCAGGGGACCTTGGCTAGTCTTCCTACAGCTTTCCAGTTCTCAGTTTTACTTACCTAAGAAAAGAGATGATTTTGAAATTTCTTGGATTTTTTTGTATTAAGGTGACATCATCAAGTTTCACAACTTTGTAGCCATCTATAATTATTCTTAAGGCCAAGGTCAGATGGCACATTTTTGTTTAACTTTGAAGTACACAAGAGAGACGTCATAAGTCTAAACCCTGTAACTCTTCTTCCAGGTTTAGGAAACATACTTCAGGCTTATTTTTACTGGTGTTTGTTGCATATGCTACATGGCTTGGTTTCCTAGGTAACAGTGTGTGTAGACTTAGTTGTAAATTTTCTCTTTCCTTGAACTCATACTTAGGGGTGGGGGGGGGAGTTCTAAAAAACATATGAATTTCAGAATCAAATTTTCCTCTTATCCTTCACTACCTCTTGCCACCTGCCTCCTCACACAATCTGTATCTGTCGACTTTTAAGCAGGATTTGCTGCCTTCCAATTTTCCCACAAGCCTTTGGGTGCTTATTTCTAGCTTTATGACACTCCCAGCTTATGCTACCTAATGAGTCATAGAAATGATTTTTAAATGTATGTATAATGTAAAAGAATAATTATGAACCATTCAAGGAACAGTCATTGAACACCAAACACTTTGCTAAATGCATTATATGCATTATTTCATTTGATACATATGACAATAATGGGCATTAAGAATTATTAGCATTTCTTATAGGTAGGGAGGAAACAAGTTTCATGAAGTTAAGTGGCTTAATCAGAGCCAAAAGCTAATACATTAATGAGATAAAGACTTGAATTCATTTCTGTGAATGCCAGACTCATGCCCTGAGTTATTACCCTACACCAGGTAACCTAATGCCGTCGTTTTAGGTTTTATCTTTGTATCAAGGCATATGCAAAAGCAGGATGAGAATCAGGCTCCTTCTGTTTAGGGCCACAGGGCATGCATGGTAGAGCTATATATTGATAAATAGGGAGAAATTTGACTCATAGCTTTTGTCATCATGTATTTATGTTTTAAGGGAAGGGAGAGTATTGCATATCTTCTGTCTCACCCATTACATAATGTCTTTCTAGTGGCAAGCTTTCAATAACAAGTTGACTGATTAATACTTGAAACAATGGATGCAGCTTGCACTGCCATTGCCAGGGCAACTGCTCTAAATTGTAGTTTCTCCTTTTACCCCCCTAATATATTTTAAAGCCTCTATTAATAATATTTCTCTTTTATTTTTCAAATTTTCTGTATGTAGCCAGAAAGATCCTTGAATGTGCATCTAATAAAAAAAAAAAGAAAACTAAGTATATGCTAGAAAAGCTGGGATTGCAAATCCTTTCTCAGATATTTCAATTCACAATAATTTTCCCCAATTCCTACCTTTTGTAGCACTTTTTCTGTCATCATGCCACTGATGAACCTTCTGAGAATATTAGGGATAGATGAAATCCTGCCTTGTGTGATTATTTTTGGAGTAGCCACTGAAAGTCAAAAAGATAGCGAAGCTCAGCTAATGATCCATGTCACATACAACTGAGAACTGCAAAGCAAGAATTACAAATAAGGCTTTCCAATCCCAAGTCTAGTGACAGGTCCACTACATCTCCCATAGCCATTATGGTATTTAATACTTCGGTCATCTCTATTAGCTATGATTTTGGTTACAAACAAAATAAACCAACATTGGATTATTCAAAGAGGATGAAAACTATTTGAAAGGGATGCCAAATTGAAAAAAAAATGGTGGAAAGTTGAAGAGTCAAAATGCAAAAATTGGTGGAAAGTTGACACCCAGAATAACTGCCAAAGTCCTGTCGCCATTCAAGACCACATCAGAGTTATGGAAACAACCATGGCCACAGGGTCACTGGTGACACTCCTGCTTCCAGAGAAGTTACAGTCTTTCCTTTCACTGCATCTGCTACTGCTCCTAGAATGGTTTCCAGACTGGCCCCTGCTTATTTACATAAACCACTCCAGATTCAAAGCCCCAGCAAAGAGTAGCCCAAGGTGAGGTTAGGTCAGAAGCCCACACAGAGCTACCAAACACCTACCTAGACAACAACAAATATGTCCCTCTCCTCAGTTTTCACTGTGGAAGGTAAAACCCTGTCTGTCTTCCTTGAAATTTTCCCAAATAGAAGGCGTTCAGAGATTGTGCAGCTGCAAGTAAGAAATATCCACTAAACATTCTAAAAGTGTTTACTGCATTGTCAAATAAAAAAATGCATAGGACAAGAGAAACAGTCAAGGAATACTTTATTCAAGACTATAAAAATAAGGGAAAGAGATTGAACTCAACTTCGCTGAAACAAAAGGCAGGAGAATTTTTAAGCACTGGGATGAGGCAGTTGCAAAGTACTGGAGAAAGTTAGCAGGGAAGTTGGTTAGTGAGATGAGGCCTTCTACGGCCTAATCTGTTTGCTAATTGATGTTTATCAAAGTTAGGTTCCTACCTTCTCACATAGACTGGGAGATGGGGCTCTGTCTTTCCTCTTAATAAATACATTTCAAATGTTGGATCCCAGGTCCTCAAGAAAGATATTCCTGTGTTGTAAAACTGGCAAGAAGCTAGAAGAAGATTTACATCTCAAAAGGACAGAGAGACAATTTAGGACTGCAATTTTTCTAAAGTAAATGCTCAGATGCTCTGAGGAAAGGAAGGCCTGGGGCCTTTAGTCAGGAAGAAATCTGTCTAAATTTAGCCAAGCCGAGGCCACCTTGGTCACGGATATGTTCATGTTTTGATTCTTGAACTATAGAGAGAAACCTTTAGAAGACTTCAGTTTATGCCATTACCATTTTCTAGCCCAAATAGCTTTATCACAATACGTTTTATATGTGGCAGTGGTAAAAAGTGATTAAGTGATTGAATGTACACAATGGAAAGTCACAACAGAAAGTTATTTTATTTTTCTCCTTTCCGCCGACAAAAATTCTTTGACAATACCTTACTCAATGATTTCTCAAATAACCAGAGGATAAAAACAGAAAAGTTTCTAAGACTATGAATATGTAATCAGATTTAATGCATTTCAAATTGAAAGACAGAGTTCCATGACTAGGTTTATTTTTGGTTGTCTACAGTTATTGACAATGAAAATTTGAATTCTTGTCAGCAAATTTATTTTGGGAAATGGTGGAAAATAAAATTCTAATTGCAACTCAATTGGCTGTTGACTCCTTTTGCAGTTTCACTGGAAATATTACTCCCATATTTAAGTTTAGATTTTGTTCACCACTGGTATATTGACAGAACACCCCAAAAATATGTTTCCTCTAACATTGTAAAAGAAGGAAATGTGAACTCTTAAGAAATAGGACTGCTGTATTGGGTAGCAGTAAAAGAAGCAGGGGATAAACTTGATCTTCAACAAAACTATCCTTTATGTTGCGGAAACTACTCTGGGCTGACCTTATTTTAAATCACTCCACTAAACCACTATAAGAACTCAGAAATAACACAAATACTAAAACCTCCTACATACATATTTGGAAAAGTAGAATCCCTCTTTCTAGAAACCCTCACTGCTACACAAACATTTTGTTCACTCCACACCCCATTAACTTTCAGAGCAACAATAACAACAAATTCAGGAGGCTATTGAACTGAAGAACGCCTGGGTAGATGCAATTGAATTATATCAATATATTTCAGATCCAAAAGGAAAGAATATTTTTAGAATTTTTTTCTGTAACGGTTGAATTATTCAAGGAAGCTAGAGATAGGTGGTGAATAAACTTGATTTAAAATGTGTATGTGTGTGCATGTGTGTACGTGTAAAATCCTGGGCAAAGAAATATAAAGAATCTTCTTTATATGTGTTTGCTTTTTGACTAAGCCATATTTCTAAAACAATCATGTCCATCCCTCTATCCATTATCAATTGTGAATACAACAACCTCTATCAAAAATGGCACTCATGAAAATGTCTATAAATAATAATATACTTTAGAACTTGGCCAAAACAAAGCATCTTTTATTATACAAAGATATGGTTGCAGGTCTCGTGGAGACTAGAGAACTCTTTCTGACCATCACAGAATGTCATGGAAGAAGGGAAGTTTGAAATAATGAGTAAATTCTCTTAGAATTTCTTTTCCTTTTTTTTTTTGTCAGCTTTGCAGAGGATTGCTTGGAGGGTAATATTTGAGACTTGGAGTTTATTTCTCTTTGGAAATTATTCAAAAATTGCTGGAGACATAATTGGAATATAAAAATGACAATCATCATTCTCTTTATTGGTAGCATTTGTAGGAACAAAAAGGGTATAATACTTTTCCTCCACATCATAAGGGTCACAGCCAACACTTTTATAACAAAAGACAGGTTAACAAGATAAAAACATAGCTCTTTAATCAAACTTCTACATGACAGAGACTTTAGAATGAAGACCTCAAAGATTCACGGAAAAACTGTCTATTTTTATGTTTGTGTTCGATGAAGAATGGGCAGCTGTGTAGAAATGTGATTGGACAAGAATATAACCTAATGGTAATTGAGTGGGAAAACCCAACAAGGCCTATGTGTTCAGATTCTTCTTGGCCTCTCTGTGTAGCATTCTTTCCTCACATGTACAGAGAGCAGGACACCTCTGGAATGAGCATCTTATGACCTACAATCAGACAAGGTAAGTCCAAGAACTTATTCTCAGCTCCTACACAGAAAGGCAGAGGAAGGTAAAAGTAATATTTCCAGATTTTATAGCTGGCTTTGCAGGAAACAGGTCCTAGTTTCTATGATCCACCTTGGGGAAGAAGCATTCTGGTTACTATGACTCACTTCTAGAAAGAATGAGGGGCCAATGACAGCCAGGAAGGAGAAGGTCAGATAGACCCTAGTCCTGAGGCTGCTTCTGAGGCCTTCCAATGTCCTTTGGTTGAAAGTACTCAGCATGCCAAAGTACATACTTTGGAGCATCATTTTCTGAGCCCTAACATGTGTGTTAACATTTACTGTGTGTGGGGTTGTTTTAATTTTTTATTTTTTACATGCAATATATGTTTGAACCTTGTTGAAGCACTGAAGTCTGTACAGTAGGTTTTATCTCCATTTTACAAGATGAGAATATTGATGTCATTAACAAGTAAATGGAAGAGTGCAGCTTGCAATGTAGGTTTTCTGGTATCTACTTCAGAGTTAATAAATATACAGAACTTAGCACAATATTTACTGTATGGTAAATGTTCAGTAAAATGCTAGTCATCAGTATTGCTACTAGTCTTTTCATAAATAGTTTACAATGTCCTTTCTTTGAATCAAATCATCCATGAGAAGAAATACAATATACAAGAGCTTTGCCATGGGAAAGCATTTTCACTATTCCTTTTTCGTAAAATCCCTTTTATTAAACTACTTTAAAGGAGATTGCTGATTCGTCTCAGGACATCAGGACAGTGTGTTAGGTATAGCATTGTTTGTTAGTAATCTCTGAATGTACTAGGCTAATGTCCGTGGTTAGCCTAATAAGAAAGTCCCTGATTATTTTCTTCCCATCCAAACCTGTACTCCCACTTTCCCACTAGAACTCCTCTTTTACCACGAGTGTACAGAACATCTGTGAGCCAGGGGTTCTATTGTTATTTAAGATGGCAATCTGCTGCAATTGTCTGCCTTCATTCATAACCAATCCCGGGGGAAATCTCAACCACAATTAGATGACAGAGATGTCAAGCAGAAAGGAATCATTTGCTATGGTGGAACTCAGAGAGGAGAAAAAAAAATAGATGAACTTGACTGTCAAAGAAGTAATATCCATTCTATAAAACCAAATAATGTCTTATGATCGACAGCTAATTTTTATAGACTCTGAACTATAAAGATTGCAAATTAAACCCCCACCAAGCCAAGAAGCAGATAAAATCTCAACTGGATTAGGCCTATCTGATTCTTTAGGAGCTGCATTCATTAATGAGCCTTCTGGCCTAAAATAAAGGTGATTTCAGTGGTCTTTAGTCACAAAAAGGTTCTTTAAAGGAATATATAATTAACAATCACTAAACACAGTGTGCTAGCCAAGTTCTTCTGAATAGAAATAAATCATTTTAGTGTTTATTTTAATTTTACTTATAAAATTTTAAAATTATTTTTAACTTTAAATATTCTTATATTGTTTTCTTCCTAAGGACTGTCACTGTGGGATTAAGAAAGAAACCAAAGAGGTAGTTTGAAGGATAATATATCCTAAAGCCTACATGCAAGAGGTACTAAAAAATATGTAAGTTCAGAAATATTTGTACTGTTATGAAGGTGGTTAATGGATTTTTTTTTTTTACTGTTGGTAGAGTTCACCATGGGTCCTAAAACACTTCTGTGACTTAAAGAAAAGATCAGCGAGAGAGCTAGAAGCAGCAACTCAATTATTCTGTAGTACATCTTCATTTAAAATTAAACTGGTAAGGATGAATGTGAAGATTAGGAAGTCCTTTTGTCAGAGGCGTTTGAACCAGAGCAACTCTATCTTGAATAGGAATGGGCAAAATGAGCCTGAGACCTACTGGGCTGCATTCCCAGATTGTTAGGCATTCTAAGTCACAGGATGAGATAGGAGGTTGGCACAAAATACAGGTCAGAAAGACCTTGCTGATAAAACAGGTGGCAGTAAAGAAGTCAGCCAAAACCCACCAAAACCAAGATGGCAACAAGAGTGTCCTCTGGTCGTCCTCACTGCTACACTCCCACCAACACCATGACAATTTACAAATACCATGGCAACATCAGGAAGTTACCCTATATGGTCTAAAAAGGGGAGACATGAATAATCCACCCCTTTATTAGCATATAATCAAGAAATAACCATAAAAATGGGCAACCAGCAGCCCTCAGGGCTGCTTGGTCTATGGAGGAGCCATTCTTTTATTCCTTTACTTCCCTAAGAAACTTACTTTCACTTTATTCTATGGACTTGCCCTGAATTCTTTCTTGTGTGAGATCCAATAACCCTCTCTTGGGGTCTGGATTGGGACCCCTTTCCTGTAACACTTTCCTATGAACAGAGTAAACCTGTAGCATACTTTATTAGTCATGGTAAAAACTCTGCGACATGATTTTATGCACATGTCAGCAATTTGAGATAATATGAATAGACACACAATTTTCTGGGAACATGTGTCAATACAAAACTCTTTGGGTACTTTTCTTCTATTTTTATGGTTTGCATTGGTTTTTCAATTTATTTCTTGTGTCTATATGATAAACACCATGCTCAGAATTGATCATAAGTCATACATAGAAAATAGCCTCCTTAGATAACCTCAACATCTATTTATTTCTCAAAATTTACATACAAATTGTTCCACAAATATAGCTGCTGTTACACAAGTCATGGATGGAATGTTAATGCCAGCTGAGGTTTCCTAAAAATGTGATTTATCACCCTGGAGTCTGTTAATGAAACTTATATGTTCCCATGATTACTTTAACACTCCTTTGAAAGGAAAACATGCATTAAACAATTAATTTCTGCTCTTACCACTCAAAACCCATTTGGAAAAGTACATCACCAATGAATTTAAAGATGCCAATAAATAATTAAATTTTAGCTTGATAGTCTATTGTGACATTTCTATTTTCCTTTTTCATTCATACAGTCATATATCTTATATAAAGAATGTATTCTGGGCCAATACAACTCCTGTATATTAATATATAAAAGAAATTATTTCCAAATGTAACATGTAAATAACATTTTCAGTATGTACCAACAGAAAGCGCATAGTTGCTAAGGAACTTTATACTACTTGTGATGCACTGAATGATTTTATGGTTGAGTAGTGTCATAATTAAGCCCAACGATTTGGGTTCCTGACTCCCTGAATCCTTGCACTGTCATTACTATTGCTCTAATCTCAGTCATGTTACTTAACTTCTCTATGCCCCAGGTTTTTACATCTGTAACATGGGGACTGTATTAGTACCTACCTCACATGAATTTTTGAAGATTAAGTGAGGTAATATTTGTGAAGCACTTAGAACAGTCCCTGGAACACAGTAAGTGCTACGTAGGAATTTGCTAAGTGAATAAATAAACTAAGCCTTAATGTAAATAACCATGATCTACAAAAGCAAAGCTGTGCATGTAAGCATGAGACAATTATCTTATTATATACCAAGCTAACTGAAATTAATAGCTTTAATTGACAAAATGCCCAACATATTATCCATTTGTTCTTAAGAGTAGGCAGAAACCTCAATCTTATGGCTACTTCCGTATAAAAGATAGCTTCAGAATTTTCTGTTCCTTTTTCCAATAAATTAAAGTCAAATCTCAGTTGTGGGAAGGAATTGCAATTCATGTATTCAAATCCACCTACATATTCCATATTTAAACCCACAGTAAAAGCTACTGAATGGCCACCCAGTCTATGAGTAAAAACTTTATGGTTGAGAGAGTCACTGTGTCTGCAGGCTGTCTGTCATTCCATCTTTCTGTAGTGTAGACCATGCAAATTGTTTTCCCTCATTTAGCCAAACTACAGTTCTCAATTTCAACACAATTGAATTAAATAAATCCCTTTGCACTTGACACCCTTTCAAATATCTAAACACTGTTTTTCAGGACCCTCCATTCCAAGCCTATTTTTTCTGGACTAAACGGTCTCAGTTTTTCAGTTGTTTTTCAAATAGCATGCTGTTTATATTCAGTATATTTTATTACTAAACAAATAATGTAAGTAGAATATTAGTGCCCTCAAATAGGAAACTACACAAAATAATAAGCATTAAAAAGGAGGGGATAGAAGAATTCTAGTCAAGATGGCATGTGAATTTCTACTGCTATCCTTCTACCCCACACCCACCTTCAAAAGTATAGTAATGACAAATAATACATAAAAAGAGAAAAAATAAAGAAAATATTGGGGTCAAAAACAAATATTTGTTTGTTTTGTACCAAAACTATACCAAAACACAAAGCAGAGACTAGATACGATGCTGTGGGCATGTTAGGCTCTGTATCTGGAATCACACGGTGTTGTACAGAAGAAGATAAGCTCCATGGGGTAACATTCATTTCTAATCACAGAATCAGAAGTAGACTTACCTCTTGAAGTCAAGCATGGTAAGAGAGAAACACTAGAAAAAAAGTCAAAAAATATTGTTTTAAAAAAATTAAAATATACAAACTAAAAAAAAATCTGTTGACTGACTTATTTTGCTCCATCATATTCAAAGTTGTAGATGGAGAGTGGTAGGAGGGAAAAGGACCCCACTTAGTGGCTAGAAAATGAACCAAATGGCTCACTGACTCAATGACTATGTCTATGATATCCCAGACTATTGTTACCGAGCAAAACCCAGAAATATCATCAATCTAACTTAGGCCTGGGAGTTCCTAGGGCTAATTAGAGGTTACAAAAACCTGCTCTGTAGGGCAGGGTGAACACAGAAATAGAGACTGGAATTCATCTTCCAATCCAAAAACATGAAAGTCTGCAAACTATAAAATGCATGAACAAATCTTCCACTTAAAAAAATAAGAAATTATGAAACAAAAACAAGCAGGAATGAAACAACAGACTCAAAATGATTAGAATCTTGCAAATGAAAGAGGATATAATTGAAATGACTGAAAGATAAGATAAACTCTAAACACGACAGGACTGAAGAGATAGTAAAAGACACAGAAATAGAAATGGAAAGGAGTAGTAAAGAGACATGGTTTCAGAAACAGTAAGTATATTATATATATATATATATATATATGTATATATACACACATATATATGTCTGGGTGTGTACACACATGTATATGCATACATATATATTTACATCTAAGTACTTATACATTGATAGATATTTAATCCTCTGGTAAGATGGGCATTTCCCCTACTTTGTCTATGATGCAACCAATGCACACAAAGTTTACATAACTTTACATATATTTATCTTCTGGTTGTCAAAGAGTTAATAAGCAGACAGAATTTGAAGCCAGTCAATACCATTCCAAAGCTTCTCTCAGGACAAGAAAGGACGAAAAAGAATGAAAGAAACCAATATTTGAAAAGATAATAGCTCTTAATTTTCCACAACTGAAGGAAGACAATGAACCTCAGATCAAAAGTACACTCTGTGCAGGGAGCAGGATAAATAAACTCAAATCTGTAACTAGACACTTTGTAGTGAAACTGCAGAATAGAAAAGCTTGAAGACATCTTAAAAGCTAACAGACACAAAAGAGATTACCTACAAATGAGCAACAATTAGATTGACACAGACTTCTGGAAAACAACAACGGAAGCCAAAGAGAATGTAATGATACCTTCTCAGTGCAGAGTGAAATTAACTGACAATCTGGAGCTTTTACTGAGGTGAACTCTCATTCAAGAGAGAGGGCAAAATAAAGACACACTCAGACTTATAAAGACTTTACAAGCTTGCCAACATTTTGCATACATGTTAGCAAAATCTGAGCGAACTCAAAAGAAAGTCTAAAACACACAGTATGAAAATAAAACAGAAATGGACAAATATGAGAAAATAATGGTTTTTAAAAAGATAAAATTAAACTAGCTAATGTTAATAAAATGCATTCTTTGAAAGTTAATTAAAATTGCCAAAATCTCATATTTAGGAAGAGATATATTCTGAATAATTTTATTTTGAGCACCTCACGTGCATACAGAGGAGTTAATCACACCGAACAGGTCATGACCATCCATAGCCATTCATCTGGACCATGTTCCTCTCATTTATCTTGTATCATTACTATTTTTCCCCTTCACCTGTAGCTTAATTCCTACTCTCTTCTCCACACCCCTTTCATAGTTATTCAAATGAGTTTTGCATGTCAACTTGGATGTGAATGATGAAATGTAATAATTCACTGCTTAGGTTAACAAAGAAACACAAAAGAAATATAATGCATTGCTTTTAACCCAGCACAGGCATGAAAAGTGGGGTAGAGAAAGGAGTGGGAAACAGCATATTTCAACATGCTAGTACAGAACAGAAGTGGAAAAATAAACACACAAAAGGTGACATTCTTAATAGAACACACAAGATAATATTGAAGAAATAATCTCCCGATGGCCGAATAGGAACAGCTCCGGTCTACAGCTCCAAGCGTGAGCGACGCAGAAGACAGGAGATTTCTGCATTTCCATCTGAGGTACCGGGTTCATCTCACTAGGGAGTGCCAGACTGTGGGTGCAGCGCACCGTGTGTGAGCCGAAGCAGGGCGAGGCATTGCCTCACTCGGGAAGCGCAAGGGTTCAGGGAGTTCCCTTTCCTAGTCAAAGAAAGGGGTGACAGACAGCACCAGGAAAATCGGGTCACTCCCACCCTAATACTGTGCTTTTCCAAAGGGCTTAAAAAACGGCACAACAGGAGATTATATCCTGCATCTTGCTCAGAGGGTCCTGTGCTCATGGAGTCTCGATGATTGCCAGCACAGCAGTCTGAGATCAAACAGCAAGGTGGCAGCGAGGCTGGGGGAGGGGCGCCTGCCATTGCCCAGGCTTGATTAGGTAAACAAAGCAGCCTGGAAGCTTGAACTGGGTGGAGCCCACCACAGCTCAAGGATGCCTGCCTGCCTCTGTAGGCTCCATCTCTGGGGGCAGGGCACAGAGAAACAAAAAGACAGCAGTAACCTCTGCAGACTTAAATGTCCCTGTCTGACACCTTTGAAGAGAGTACTGGTTATCCCAGTATGCAGCTGGAGATCTGAGAATGGGCAGACTGCCTCCTCAAGTGGGTCCCTGACCCTCGAGCAGCCTAACTGGGAGGCATCCCCCAGTAGGGGCAGACTGACACTTCACATGGCTGAGTACTACTCTGAGACAAAACTTCCAGAGGAACGATCAGGCAGCAGCATTTGCAGATCACCAATATCCGCTGTTCTACAGCCACCGCTGTTCTGCAGCCACCGTTACTGATACCCAGACAAATAGGGTCTGGAGTGGACCTCTAGCAAACTCCAACAGACCTGCAGCTGAGCGTCCTGTCTGTTAGAAGGAAAACTAACAAACAGAAAGGACATCCACACCAAAAACCCATCTGTACATCACCATCATCAAAGACCAAAAGTAGATAAAACCACAAAGATGGGTATAAAACAAAGCAGAAAAACTGAAAACTCTAAAAAGCAGAGCACCTCTCCTCCTCCAAAGGAACACAGCTCCTCACCAGCAATGGAACAAAGCTGGACGGAGAATGACGAGTGGAGAGAAGAAGGCTTCAGACGATCAAACTACTCCAAGCTACAGGAGGAAATTCAAACCAATGGCAAAGAAGTTAAAAACTTTGAAAAAAAATTAGTTGAATGGATACCTAGAATAACCAATGCAGAGAACTTCTTAAAGTACTTGATGGAGCTTAAAGCCAAGCCTCGGGAACTAAGTGAAGAATGCAGAAGCCTCAGGAGCCAATGAGATCAACTGGAGGAAAGGGTGTCAGTGATAGAAGACGAAATGAATGAAATGAAGCGAGAAGGGAAGTTTAGAGAAAAAAGAACAAAAAGAAATGAACAAAGACTCCAAGAAATATGGGACTACGTGAAAAGACCAAATCTACGTCTGACTGGTGTACCTGAAAGTGACAGGGAGAATGGAACCAACATGGAAAACACTCTGCAGGATACTATCCAGGAGAATTTCCCCAATCTAGCAAGGCAGGCCAACATTCAGATTCAGGAAATACAGAGAACGCCACAAAGATACTCCTCGGGAAGAGCAACTCCAAGACACATAATTGTCAGATTCACCAAAGTTGAAATGAAGGAAAAAATGCTAAGGGTAGCCAGAGAGAAAGGTCGGGTTACCCACAAAGGGAAGCCCATTAGACTAACAGCGGATCTCTCAGCAGAAACCCTACAAGCCAGAAGAGAGTGGGGGCCAATATTCAACATTCCTAAAGAAAAGAATTTTCAACCCAGAATTTCATATCCAGCCAAACTAAGCTTCATAAGTGAAGGAGAAATAAAATACTTTACAGACAAGCAAATGCTGAGAGATTTTGTCACCACCAGGCCTGCCCTAAAAGAGCTCCTGAAGGAAGCACTAAACATGGAAAGGAACAACTGGTACCAGCCACTGCAAAAACATGCCAAAATGTAAAGACCATCAAGGCCAGGAAGAAGCTGCATCAACTAACGAGCAAAATAACCAGCTAACATCATAATGACAGGATCAAATTCACACATAACAATATTAACTTTAAATGTAAATGGGCTAAATGCTCCAATTAAAAGACACAGACTGGCAAATTGGATAAAGAGTCAAGACCCATCAGTGTTCTGTATTCAGGAGACCCATCTCAAATGCAGACACACACATAGGCTCAAAATAAAGGGATGGAGGAAGATCTACCAAGCAAATGGAAAACAAAAAAAGGCAGGGGCTGCAATCCTAGTCTCTGATGAAACAGACTTTAAACCAACAAAGATCAAAAGAGACAAAAAGGCTATTACATAATGGTAAAGGGACAAATTCAACAAGAAGAGCTAACTACACTAAATGTATATGCACCCAATACAGGAGCACCCAGATTCATAAAGCAAGTCCTGAGTGACCTACAAAGAGACTTAGACTCCCACACATTAATAATGGGAGACTTTAACACCCCACTGTCAACATCAGACAGATCAACGAGACAGAAAGTTAACAAGGATACCCAGGAATTGAATTCAGCTCTGCACCAAGCGGACCTAATAGACATCTACAGAACTCTCCACCCCAAATCAACAGAATATACATTTTTTTCAGCACCACACCACACCACACCTATTCCAAAATTGACCACATACTTGGAAGTAAAGCACTCCTCAGCAAATGGAAAAGAACAGAAATTATAACAAACTGTTTCTCAGACCACAGTGCAATCAAACTAGAACTCAGGATTAAGAAACTCACTCAAAACCGCACAACTACATGGAAACTGAACAACCTGCTCCTGAATGACTACTGGGTACATAACAAAATGAAGGCAGAAATAAAGATGTTCTTTGAAACCAACGAGAACAAAGACACAACATACCAGAAAGTCTGGGACGCATTCAAAGCAGTGTGTAGAGGGAAATTTATAGCACTGAATGCCCACAAGAGAAAGCAGGAAAGATCCAAAATTGACACCCTAACATCACAATTAAAAGAACTAGAAAAGCAAGAGCAAACACATTCAAAAGCTAGCAGAAGGCAAGAAATAACTAACATCAGAGCAGAACTGAAGGAAATAGAGACAAAAAAACCCTTCAAAAAATTAATGAATCCAGGAGCTGGTTTTTTGAAAAGATCAACAAAACTGATAGACTGCTAACAAGAATAATAAAGAAGAAAAGAGAGAAGAATCAAATAGATGCAATAAAAAATGATAAAGGGGATATCACCACCGATCCCACAGAAATACAAACTACCATCAGAGAATACTACAAACACCTCTATGCAAATAAACTAGAAAAATCTAGAAGAAATGGATAAATTCCTCGACACATACACTCTCCCAAGGCTAAACCAGGAAGAAGTTGAATCTCTGAATAGACCAATAACAGGATCTGAAATTGTGGCAATAATCAACAGCTTAACAACCAAAAAAAGTCCAGGACCAGATGGATTGACAGCCAAATTCTACCAGAGGTACAAGGAGGAGCTGGTACCATTCCTTCTGAAACTATTCCAATCAACAGAAAAAGAGGGAATCCTCCCTAACTCATTTTATGAGGCCAGCATCAGTCTGATACCAAAGCCTGGCAGAGACACAACAAAAAAAAGAGAATTTTAGACCAATATCCTTGATGAACATTGATGCAAAAATCCTCAATAAAATACTGGCAAACCAAAACCAGCAGCACATCAAAAAGCTTATCCACCATGATCAAGTGGGCTTCATCCCTGGGATGCAAGGCTGGTTCAACATACGCAAATCAATAAATGTAATCCAGCATATAAACAGAGCCAAAGACAAAAACCACATGATTATCTCAATAGATGCAGAAAAGGCCTTTGACAAAATTCAATAACCCTTCATGCTAAAAATTCTCAATAAATTAGGCATTGATGGGACATATCTCAAAATAATGAGAGCTATCTATGACAAACCCAAAGCCAATATCATACTGAATGGGCAAAAACTGGAAGCATTCCCTTTGAAAACTGGCACAAGACAGGGATGCCCTCTCTCACCACTCCTCTTCAACATAGTGTTAGAAGCTCTGGCCAGGGCAATTAGGCAGGAGAAGGAAATAAAGGGTATTCAATTAGGAAAAGAGGAAGTCAAATTGTCCCTGTTTGCAGATGACATGATTGTATGTCTAGAAAACCCCATTATCTCAGCCCAAAATCTCCTTAAGCTGATAAGCAACTTCAGTAAAGTCTCAGGATACAAAATCAATGTACAAAAATCACAAGCATTCTTATACACCAATAACAGACAAACAGAGAGCCAAATCATGAGTGAACTCCCATTCACAATTGCTTCAAAGAGAATAAAATACCTAGGAATCCAACTTACAAGGGACGTGAAAGACCTCTTCAAGGAGAACTACAAACCACTGCTCAATGAAATGAAAGAGGATACAAACAAATGGAAGAATGTTCCATGCTCATGGGCAGGAAGAATCAATATCGTGAAAATGGCCATACTGCACAAGGTAATTTATAGATTCAATGCCATCCCCATCAAGCTACCAATGACTTTCTTCACAGAATTGGAAAAAACTACTTTAAAGTTCATATGGAACCAAAAAAGAGCCTGCATTGCCAAGTCAATCCTAAGCCAAAAGAACAAAGCCAGAGGCATCACACTACCTGACTTCAAACTATACTACAGGGCTACAGTAACCAAAACAGCATGGTACTGGTACCAAAACAGAGATATAGACCAATGGAACAGAACAGAGCCCTCAGAAATAATGCTGCATATCTACAACCATCTGATCTTTGACAAACCTCAGAAAACAAGCAATGGGGAAAGGATTCCCTATTTAATAAACGGTGCTGGGAAAACTGGCTAGCCATAAGTAGAAAGCTGAAACTGGATGCCTTCCTCACACCTTATACAAAAATTAATTCAAGATGGATTAAAGACTTACATGTTAGACCTAAAACCATAAAAACCCTAGGAGAAAACCTAGGCAATACCACTCAGGACATAGGCATGGGCAAGGACTTCATGTCTAATACACCAAAAGCAAAGGCAACAAAAGCCAAAATTGACAAATGGGATCTAATTAAACTAAAGAGCTTCTGCACAGCAAAAAAAACTACCATCAGATTGAACAGGCAACCTATGAAATCGGAGAAAATTTTCGCAACCTACTCGTCTGACAAAGGGCTAATATCCAGAATCTACAATGAACTCAAACAAATTGACAAGAAAAAAACAAACAACCCCATCAAAAAGTGGGCGAAGGATATGAACAGACACTTCTCAAAAGAAGACATTTATGCAGCCAAAGCACATGAAAAAATGCTCATCATCACTGGCCATCGGAGAAATGCAAATCAAAACCACAATGAGATACCATCTCACACCAGTTAGAATGGCGATCATTAAAAAGTCAGGAAGCAACAGGTGCTGGAGCAGATGTGGAGAAATAGGAACACTTTTACACTGTTGGTGGGACGACAGTAAACTAGTTCAACCATTGTGGAAGTCAGTGTGGCGATTCCTCAGGGATCTAGAACTAGAAATACCATTTGACCCAGCCATCCCATTACTGGGCATATACCCAAAGGATTATAAATCATGCTGCTATCACACATATATTTTTTGCGGCACTATTCACAATAGCAAAGACTTGGAACCAACCCAAATGTCCAACAACAGAGTGGATTAAGAAAATGTGGCACATATACACCATGGAATACTATGCAGCCATAAAAAAATGATGAGTTCATGTCCTTTGTATGGACATGGATGAAACTGGAAACCATCATTCTCAGCAAACTATCGCAAGGACAAAAAACCAAACACTGCATGTTCTCACTCATAGGTGGGAATTGAACAATGAGAACACATGGCCACAGGAAGGGGAACATCACACTCTGGGGACTGTTGTGGGGTGGGGGAAGGGGGGAGGGATAGCATTAGGAGATATAACTAATGCTAAATGAGGAGTTAATGGGTGCAGCACACCATGGCACATGTATACATATGTAACAAACCTGCACATTGTGCACATGTACCCTAAAACTTAAAGTATAATAATAATAAAATTTAAAAAAAGAAATAATCTCTCTTCATATCAATACTTATAAAAGGTGAATGAATGAGATTCACCTATATAATGGCAGATTTTATGTCTTGTCATATCACAGCACACATTTTTTAGTTCTAATTGTATTTTGCTAGATTCATTAAGATTTTTGATATACACAAAATGAGATCATCTATAAATAGGGATAGTTTTACTTTTTCCTTTCCAATTTGTGTTTTCTTTGTTTTTCTGGCCAAATTGCCTTGTCTAAAACCTCTACCACAATTTTGAAAGGAATCGGTAAAAGCAGACATCCTTGTCTTCTTCCTGATTTTAGGGAGAAAGAGTTTAGTATTTCATCATTAAGTATGATTTTAGGTGTGAGGTTTTTGTTTGTTTGTTTTTGTTTTTTGTTTTTTTTTTGAGACGGAGTTTCGCTCTTGTTGCCCAGGCTGGAGTGCAATGGTGCAATCTCGGCTCACTGCAACCTTTGACTTCCGAGTTTAAGCAATTCTCATGCTTCCGCCTCCTGAGTAGCTGGGATTACAGGCATGCGCCACCACGCCCAGTGAGGTTTTTTGTATTTTTAGTAGAGTCGGGGTTTTTCCATGTTGGTCAGGCTGGTCTCGAACTCCTGACATCAGGCGATCCACCCGCCTCAGTCTCCCAAAGTGCTGGGATTACAGGTGTGAGCCACCGTGCCTGGCCAGGTGTGAGTTTTTTATATATGCCATTTATCAGGTTAAAGAAGTTTCCTTCTATTCCCAGTTTTTTGAATATTTTAAATATGGAAGGGTATTGGATTGTACAGGTACTTTTTATGTGACAACTGAGATGGTTATATGTTTCTGTTAATATTGTGTATTACATTAATTGATTTTCAGAAATTAACCACTCTTGACATCCTGTGATACGCTGTACTCAGTCATGGAGCATAATCATTTTTATATGTTGCTGGATTCTTTCCTTAGGATTTTGTTAAGGCTTTTGCATCTGTATTCATAAATGATATTGGTTTAAAGTTTTATTTTATTGTAATTTATTTGACTGGCTTTGATATGAGGGTGGTACTGGCTTTATAAAATGAATTGGGAAGTATTCCTTTTTGTTCTGTTTTTGGGACATGTTTATAAAGAATCGGTATTAATTACTCTTTAAATGAGCTCTGTGTGTCTGCACTGTTAGAGGGAAGTTTTAAATTACTAATTCAACTGCTTTGCTTATTATAGACCTATTCAGATTTTTTTTCTCCTTGAATCAGTTTTCGTAGTTTGCATGTTTTAAGAAATTTGTCAGTTTCATCTAATTAATCTGATGACATACCCCTTGCTGTTCGTAGCATTCTTTTATAATCCTTTTTATTTCTATAAGGTTGGTAATTTTTCCCCTTCTGTTTTTGATTTTGTCATTTTGAATATTTTCTGTTGCTTTCTGGTCAGATTAGCTAATAGTTTGTCAATTTATTTTATCTTTTTAATGAATCTTTTTTTGTTTCATTGATTTTTTGTATTTATATATATTTCTATAATTCCTTAATTTTACTATCATATGTATTATTAACAGTAGTATTATTTCGTTCCTTTTGCTACCTTTAGGTTTAGTTTGCTCTTCTTTTTTCAGTGTCTTATGGTAGAAGGTCAGGTCATTGATTTGAGATCTTCTTAACTTTTTTATATATAGACATTTACCATTTTCAAGTTTCATCTAATCACTCCTTTTGCTGTGCCCTGTAAGTTTTGTTATGTTTTGTTTTTATTTCATTTCATTAATTCTTCTGAAAGTATATTCTAATTCTCTTCGTGATTTTGTCTTTGACCCATTGTTTATTTAGAAGTGTAGTGGTAAATCCTCATTTTTTTAAATTTTCCAAATTTATTTTTATTAATTAATTTCATTCCATTGTGTTCAAAGAACATGCTTTATGTGATTTCAATTCTTTTTAATTTATTGACATTTCTTTTGGCCTCTCATATTCTGGAGAATGTTCCATGGACACTTGAGAGGAATGTATAGTCTGTTGTTGTTTGGTGATGTGTTCTACAGAGGTTTGTTAGATCTACTTGTTTATAGGGTTGTTTCGGGCTTCTGTGTTCTTGTTGATCTCCTGCCTGGTTGTTCTATCCATTATTGAACGTGCAATTTTCATGTTTTAAGCTATTATTTTTGGTTTTCTATTGTTCCCTTCAATTCTGCCAATTTTTGCTTCATGAATTTAGAAGAATTTTGCTTCTTTTTAGGTGCATATATAGTTATAATTATTATAGCTTTCTTTTGGATTAACCCTTTTTCATTTAAAAATGTCCTCCTTTATTTCTGTTTTTTGTTGTTGTTAAAATCCATTTGTCTAATAAAATATCCACCCCAGCTCTCTTATGTTGGCTGTTACAGAGTTTCCTTTTTTCTATCCTTTTACTTTCTGTTACTTGCTTTCACCCTGAAGAATGAATTCCTATTACAATTTCTTGTAAGGGAGGTTGGCTAGGGAAAAGTTCTCTCACTTGTTAGCCTCCACTAATGCTAGCTGATTGCTCTATAATTTTTGAAAATAAATGTCATTACTTACTCCACAGTCTGATCAAATTAAATTTGATCTCTCTAAAAGAGTACTGTTTGAGCATACTTTTTGAGCCTTGTTCTGACCCCAGGAAGATTGTCTATCTGTCTCTTTTCCTGATTCTCTCTGTTAAACCTCTAGTGACCCTATGCTTTTGTTTGCTGCCCAGTGGAAATACCAGCCCCTTCTTAACTGCTTACCATTAAATTTTCCATTCTTTACTACAGTGCCCTTAGACTAAATCTACTCCACGTTTGATAAAATCGGTCCCCTTAGTGAGAACTGCGAGCTGTGGAGCTCTCTGCTCTTATGATCTGCCTTTCCCCGGGGAGAACTTTCATGTCACTGCTCTTGAGTTGGCGGCAGGGCCAAAGTGACACTGCCAATCTACAAGGGGGCACTGTTTGGGGAAGTAGCCCTTGGCCTTCTCAAGTCGTTTTTCTTGTAAAACTTCTGTTTTATGAGTAAAATGAATTAGGGCAATTTGAACCCAGTATTATCTGGCATGCCTTGAGTAGCTGATTGGTATAGCCTGTTGTGATGGTTAATTTTATATGTCAACTTGACTAGGTTAAGGGATGCCCAGATAGCTGGTAAAACATTATTTCTAGGTATGTCTGTGAGAATGTTTTGGAAATGATAAAACATAAAATAAGGGAAAATTATCTCTTTCTTCTTGAACTGGGACATCCATCTTTTCCTCAAACTTCTGTGCTCCTGGTTCTCAGGCCTTTGGACTCTGGGACTTGGCACTCATTGTTAAGATAATTATGTGATAAATTTTCAATTTTTTAATTGAAATTGTTTAAATTTATTTTTCTTTTGGGTCAATACTGGAAAACTACTTTTCCTTCAAAATTATCCGTTTCATATTGTATTTTTTGATGTAGCTGTGTATTTGTGCAAAGTAGTCACATTTGGAACTTGCTTTTTGTCTGATAATATCAATACCATTGATATTATCAGACAAATACCACATGCATGTCTGTAGGACTTATTTTTAGTACACTCTAACTGCAAAAAGTAGTCATTTTTTTCTAAATCAACTGTCTCAATAGTTTTTCCCCTTGTCATGTTCTCTTATAGTTATGTTTTCTCCCTTTTTAATTAATTGGATTAAATAATAATGTACATATTTTGATTTTTTTATAAAGAATTCACTTTTTAAATTTTTCACTAGTTCCATGACTTTTCATCCTCGCTCATTGCTTTTATCTTTATTATATCATTACTTTCATTTTCTTTCAATGTAATCTTTGTATTTTCATTGATCTAAGTAATTGCTGCTATAAATTTTTGTATAATGTCTTTAAAAATATGATCTTATAGATTCTAGAATGTACTGATTTTTAGTATCATTGTTTTTAAAATTATTTTTTAAATTTTGGTTTGCACTTCTTCGACATAGTATTTTATTATTTTTTTCAATGTAAAAAAAAGTATTGGGCCAGGTCTTGTGGCTCACTCTTGTAATCCCAGCACTTTGGGAGGCTGAGGCAGGTGGATTGCTTGAGCTCAGCAGTTTGAGACCAGCTTGGGCAACATGGGAAAATCCCATCTCTACCAAAAATTTAAAAAATTAGCTAGGCATGGTGGCGTATGCCTGTAGTCCCAGCTACTTGGGGGGCAGAGATGGGAGGATTGCTTGAGCCCCAGAGGTGAAGGTTGCAGTGAGCTGAGATTACACTACTGCACTCCAGTCTGGGTGACATAGCCAGAAACTGTCTCAAAAAAAAAAAAAAGTCTTTTTGTCTATTGTTATTGATGTATAGTTTTCTTGCATTGTGATAAGAGAGAGCTGTTTTTATTTATCTTTATGAAATTTGTTAAGTTTGCCTTTGCAGGCTAATATATGGTCAGTTTTTATGAATGTTTTATACATATTTGAGAATGTGAATTCTCTCTTATAGGTATCATTTTCAATATATAATCATGATGTCTACATTTTTACTTACCTTGTTTCATTTTTCTATATCCTCACATTTTGTCTACTTATCTGTTTTAGATTGAGAATAGTATGCTAAAGAATTCTAGTACTATGTATTTCCATTTATTTTTTCCTTTTGCCTCCTGTGGTCCTACTTTTAGAAAGAAGCTGCTATGAAATTTTATGCATAGGTACCTCATTTGGTACTTAGGTACTGCATTGTGATTTGTAATAATATTGCCTTGTATACTAATTTTATTATTTTATTTTTATCAATTTTCAGTAGTTTTGTCTTACCACTATAAGTGGGGACCAAACAGTTACATCATAGTTTTGCATTCCTTATAAAATCTATTTTAGAATTTCCCCTATGAAAATTAACAGGTATTTACATATTTCGATGTAACATAAATACATATATTTCCATATGTATTGCATGTAATAGAATATATATTTTTATATGTATCACATGTAATAGAATACTTATATTTTTATATGTATCATATGTAATAGAATACATATATTTTGATATGTATCATATATATTTTATATGTATCATATCTAATAGAATACATATTTTTATATGTATCATATAATACATATATTTTGATATATCATATGTAACACATATATTTTGATAAGTATCATATATAATACGTATATTTTGATAAGTATCATATATAATACATATACTCATATATGTATTATTCAATTTGCAGTTTGAATTATACTCAAAATAATTTCTACAGAAGTATATGTGGTATTTATCTGATAATTTCTATACCTAAAACAAGTTCCAAACATGATTATAATATTAGATATCATTTGTTGAAACTCCTGAATATTTTGCTAATATAGCCAACTAGTCCAACTACCCAGATATACCCAAACTCTGAGTTTATGACATCAAAATGCATTGCAAATATATGTACTCAGAACTCAGCAGACACAGAAACACTGCCAAATTCATTCAGTGCAGAGATTAAAATGAACTCTGATCTCACTCTTTGAAATACAGGCATTCCACTATAATTACCATCAAAATCATAGTAATGGTCAGATTGACACTTCAAAAGAAATACCTCTAGCTTTTAAAACACTAAGCACAAGCACTTTAAACATAGTGTTTAAATAGAAATCTTGATAGAATAGATTTTCTGCCTTATTTTTCAAAGTTAGTTTTTAAAAATGGCCTTTTTGGAAGAAACAGAGGCATCTCTGACTTTTTAAACAAAAGATGCACAGGTAAAGAGAATCTGCTTCACTTTCAAAAATTTAAAAAAAAAAAGTAAAAGCTATCTCAGCAGATGTTCTATTGAACATAGCATCAGGGAAAAAAATGACAAATTTCAAGCTGGAAAGATCATATATTGATTTAGTGTGTTTGTTTTTATACAATTCAGTTACTTATTTTTAAGTATCAACACCTACATAACATGGCTCGCTAGAATCACAATATGTTTACCAAATGCCGCTAATGATGTTAAGAGAACTTGCCTTAATTATTTAGGTTCATTCATACATGTCATCCATATTAGCAATCAGAATGTCAGAGTGGGCTCATTAAATCTACCACTTATATAATGGCTTGTATTTCTGAGTGCGCATGGTAGACTGCTGTCGAGAATTTTTCAAGATTACACTCAGAATGTTTACTTACAAATAATCACGTTTTCTCATAAAATATCTATGTCAAGAATGAATTATCTTATTCTATATCTGATTTTAATAACTTTATGTTAAATTATCTCCATTATTACTTACTACCATTTTTTCAATTCAATATTTTCTCATTAAGACTAAGTTTAATACCAATGGATTTTCCCCAAATGGTAAGAGTGTAGTCTCTATACATAAAGGTGATAAAGGCCAATGGCTCATCAGGTGATGGTTATAACAGTAACATTTAAAATAACTTCAAATATGGGCTTCAGGATTATAACAAATGGAGGAGAGAATTAGAAGCTAGCAAGTAAGGGGTGGAGAAAAATATTAGATTGAGGAATAAAGATCATAATAAAGGTAAAAACTGATTTCAGCAGAAATAAGGAAATACAATAAGTGAAATATTCAGGTAATCATTCAATAAACATCTAATGAAGCCCTAGAATGTGCCAAGTACCATTCAGTAAAGAAAGGGATAAATATCTCTTCATTTTTTTCATCCAACATAAGTTGTTCTTATTATTTTTAATTAGAAACTACTGTATGCTTAGAACTATGCTGGACATAGGCACTAGTGATAAAATCATAATTATACCCAGGCATAACTCTTAGACTTAAGAGTTACAGTCTGGTTGAGGAGAGACATTAAGCAATCACAAAAATAGAGGTAAAAATTACAACAGTGTTAAGAGAGGAAGAAGTATGTCATGCGCAGTGCGCACATAATAAAACCTCTGGATTCGTCTGGCGTGCAGTGGGGATCAGGGAAGATCTCTTCAAGAAAATGACAGAAATGAGATCTCAACTTTGGCAAGGGTGGCATTGAGAGTGTTCCAGGTGGAAGAAAGAATGTGTGCGAAGTCCCTAGTGCTAGAGAAAGCAGAGCATACAGCACATTTGAGAAACTAAATAAAGGTCCAGAATGGTCAGTGGATAGATTCTAAGGCAAGTCATGGCTTATAGGTCAGAGGGAACAGCTGAAGCGGGGACGTAAACTTCAGGTTAAGGAGTTGGCCTCTACTTGGTGATTTGCTAGAACTGATCTCCACTGGCTTTCCAGGGCCAATTGTGCACATCTTTCTCCAACTCAACACTCAGAGATATCACATTGCTAGCTTGAAATTATCCACCACAGGAATAGTTATACTATGGAAATTTGGCGAATGCTACAAGGGTACAGGTGGGAGTTTTTCATCACCCACCCCCCTCTTTCTGCCCTCCTCCCCTGCCCAGCTGATGGTTAAGCAACTTACCCTCATATCTGATGTGGCAGAGCAAGAGATGAAACACACCATCAGTTAGTAGAGCACAGCACTAACTCCATCTATTTAAGAAAGAAAAACTTGAACCACTTTAAAATGGAGGTGGGGCATGAAAAAAAAATGCTCCAAGTGCAGGTGCAGGGTAGAAAATGGACTGGAATGGAGGAATGGGCTCAGAGAAAACCAACAGAAATATATTAGCATTCCAGCATAAAGATGATGGTATTTGGACAGGGTGATGGGATTAGAAACAGAAGAGATTTTGAACATTGTGTTTTTTTCAGGTTGAATCAAGAAAAGTTTCAAACGGTTGTGATACAGAGTTGTGATTATTGTGACTTGAAAAGGTAAATTAGGATATTTTGAAGTGAGTAGTCTAAGTATACATAGGCTGTTAGGTGAGTCCTCTGTGCAAAAGCTAAAGTCAGATGATTGGATGGAAATGAAGTCAGTTAAATAGACTCTGAAGAAATAAAAGATAATTCAGGAAGATGGTAGATGAAATAAAGATAGAGAGTTGTATAAGTATATGCCATAGACTTCAAAATGAAAAAAGTGTTTAAATTATGCTAAACAAGCGAAAGCTGGAAACAAAGAAAAGCCTGGTTTCTTTAATTCACAAATTGGTAGGCATGGCTTTGGAGCAGTTGGGAAGGAAGAGGAACCACTAAGAAAAAAACAAATTGGAAAAAAAAATGCTTTGATTCAGACAAATGTGTATTGGAAGCAAAATATCGAGGATGTCTCCATGGCAGCTAAGTCCTAGCCAAATTCTCCATTTCACTTTGAAGCAAAGCCTTTCAGAATCTGTCCAGTGCTTGGCACAGTGAGGGCTGGGAAAAGGGACAGCCATTATTGAAAATTGGCTGGGAGGATGTGCAGGTGGAGAGAAAAGAGACAAATGAGCAGCTGAAAAACACTAATGAAGTGTTTGTAATGAAGTGGTAGCTAAGGCTTTAAAAATACTGTCTTACATTTCCCCAGATGGTGACTCCAAGAATGAAAAGTGATTACTTTTACTTCCTTTAGCATCCTAGACATTTCTTGCTAGAAGTTTCTTCTATAAACATATCTATGCTCCAGGACTTTATCAATGGTAATTTTGATAGAAACTTACCCTCATATCTGACACCCTCATATCTGACAGAGTAAGAGATGAAACACACCATCAGTTAGTAGAGCATGCATGGTCCTTGGTTGTTAGCATTTCCCCTGTTAGAGTTACAGGTTACATGTCTGGCATTTTCCTGAAACTCAGCACATTTTTCAGACTTTTTGGAAAATGAAAATGTTTCACCTTCTTATTGGGTACTAATTTTTACTACAGAAATGTTTTAGGCCTTTATTTCTTTATTTATTTTTGGGACAGAGTCTCGCTGTTACCCAGGCTGGAGTGCAGTGGCGTGATCTTGGCTCACTGCAAGCTCCGCCTCCCGGGTTCAAGCATTTCTCCTGCCTCAGCCTCCCGAGTAGCTGGGACTACAGGCACCCGCCAGCACACCTGGCTAATTTTTGTATTTTTAGTAGAGAGGGGATTTTGCAATGTTGGCCAGACTGGTCTCGAACTCCTGACCTCAGGTGATCCACCCGTCTCGGCCTCCCAAAGTGCTAGAATTATAGGCATGAGCCACCATGACTGGCCTTTTAGGCATTTCAAAAGCAGATCACAGTATATTAGTTGATCTGAATATACAAGCTCTACATTTAAAGTATGGCTACCAAAAATCACTAAGTATTTAGTTAATATATTTTATAATGACAGCCTCACAAACTTGGTCAGAAATGCAATTGTCTATGCATAAACTAGTCATTCTTTTTTTCTAAATAACATATGTGTGTGTGTTGAGAGAGAGAGAGAGAGAGAGAATAAGAGTCTGATAATGTGGACTTAAGCACCAAGATAATCTGTGAAAAATCAAGTATTTTAAAATAGATTTTGTCAAAATTGTCTTGGCAAGAGAGAAAACAACTACATAAGACATTTTATGTGTGGGCTGCTTCAAAATATTAAGAAAAGGAGTTATCAACCTAAGGTTTGTAAAACAATCTTCCTCAATGGGTTGCAATAGTTTGTGAAAAATTCCTGAAGACCTTTCAGGAGAATATTGTTGTTTTATATTTTTAAATGTTTATTTTTTTCTTCAATAACGGCAATGCTGCAATACTAAGGGAACATTGTGGAAGTTGGCCAAACTTTAATCGAAGTATATCTGCTTTCTAGGACGGAGTGTGGACAAACTTACTTTTATGCCCCTTCACGGGCCTATCCTATAACAATACAAAAATGTTCAATCAGAATATTTCATTTCTAAGACTTTTTAAAATGGAGAATTATTATTAAATATTAGATACTAACAGATGTAGCTGATTTGGAAGAGGGGACTGTCATGAATGTTTATTTATTCCATTTAATATATTGACAGCACTGTGATGATTAATTTTACGTGTCAACTTGACTGGGCTAAGGGATGGCCAGATAGCTGGTCAAACATTATTTCTGGAGAATTAATGTTTGTGAGAATGTTTTCGTGAGAATGTTTCCAGAAGAAACACTCACTCATTCCACAGATTCATTTGAATCTGTGGACTGAGTAAAGATGATCTCCCTTAAAAATGTGGATGGGCATCATCCAATCCTTGGAGACCCTATTATACATTTTTAAAAAGGCAGAGGAAGAGGTTAATTTGCTCTCACTGCTTGATCTGAGACAGCTGTATTCTCTTGCCCTTGGACGTTGGAGCTTCCAGTGCTTGGGCTTTTGGATTTAGATCTGAGTATACACCATCAGCCTTGCCTGGTTCTCAAGCCTTTGGGGTGAGACTGAATTGTACCGCTGGCTTCCGTGGTACTCCAGCTTGCAGCTGGAAGCTCATGGGACTTCTCAGCTTTTATAATCATGTGAACTACAACCTAGAATAAATACACAAGCACCCATACACACATATATCCTATTGGTTTTGTCTCTCTGGAAACTGCTGACTGACAAAACCATTTTGAAAAGACTTCTCTAAACATTTTTTTCTACAAAAACTTAACCTTGGTAAAGACAGATTTTATCCACACATGATGAAGACATTTCAAGAACAATGTCCCTGAGATGTGAGATATTATTGCACAGGAAAATTAATAGTGACTTTTTGGCAGAGTGATTATATGGTTAATTATTCCTAATCTTTTTGTTTAACTGGTTTTCTATTATTCCATAATAAGCATTTTCTACTTATTCAGGAATCTTTAACGTACAATAAAATAATACAAGTCATTTAAAATGCTTCTCCAACTTCTGAATGTTGTTTCCTAGAACCACATTTAGTAAGTCTACAACTTCTTCTCATAGCCTTCACTTAAATAATTAAAATCAGCAATTAATCTGCTCCTATTCTTAGTATTTTCTCCTACTATTTTCATCCTATCATGTACTAGTGTTTATCAACCATTCCTAATCATAAAAATTACCCTGGGAAAATATTAAATGTTAGATTCTTGGGCCCCACTATACCTGTAAAAATAGAATATCAAGGAGAAGTCCTGGCCATCTGCTAAAAAAAAAAATGTCCATCTCAATAACCTTTATACTAAAACTAATTATTTGGGAATACTATCTTACAAGATGTTCCAGACCCCGAACCCAGTGTCTTCCTCTCCTGGTACCTTTTCTAGTTGTAATCCTTTAGCATACCAAACCAGTTTGTTCTCCTATTTCTTGACTGCTTAGGAATGCAGCAACTCATACTGGTGCATTCTGAGCAATTAAGAAGTTATGGGAGACTAGGCACGGTATCATGAAATTAGCTGGTGTCCTAACCCTGCAGCAATGGGAGTAGGGTTGGGATGCATGAAAGGACCAGGGAAATATATTCTTACGACAGCTCTAAAATTTTCATCGCCTGGGCTGTCTTTCCTGCTGATTTTTCTGCCTTTGCCTTGCTCTAGCTTACTGTGCAACCCAGGAGGCTTCCTCTTATAAATTTCATCTACTATTTTTTACATCATTATCTGTTTGACCTCTGAGTTTTAAATCTGAATATGATAACTTGATCCTCGTTTCTGATTTTTTTTTTTTGACAGTCTAGAATTAGAACACTCAACCCTCAAAATCCTCTTTTTAAGATCAATACTCCAGAGAGTTTCTGCTGAAAGATTCAAGTTATCTATTCTGGACAGAGAGTAACAACAGGGAATTTATTCAAGTTGGGAAACACCCTAGTTGATCCAGTTGTTCTTCTTGACCAGACTGGTTGAATTCCTGCATAGACACAAAGCATCAGACTAGGATGAAATTCATTTAAATTGATTTGTCATAATTAGGTGGACATAGCTTATTTTCTACTGTGTCTATTTAGAGATAATTAGACGGAGTGTAATTTCTAGTAATGAAATACCTAGACTGCACACTCTCATTCTTATTAATAGAGAAAAGCCATAGCATTGAAAAATAAACTATCTTTAGTAATATGTGATTCAAAGGTAAAAAAAATAGTACGATTACAGTATGGAAATCAACTGTTCCATAGACACATTTCTAACTATATTCATTTTAGAGTGATAAAAGCATAAATATAGTTATTGTATAGGAACAAATATTATGTTAATTGATAAATACTTAGAGATTAATATCATAAATTTTCTAGGCATGTAGTGTAGAGAACCTCAGAGTCAAATAGTTTCACGTTCAGAAACTGGCTCTGCTATTTATTAGATGTTTACTCTTGGGAGGAAAAAAAAATAAGAACCTGTCTACGCCTGAAGATTAAGAAGAATTCTATGCAGAAAGTATTTCTTTTGACCCACATAAGTACTATAAAGATTACCACTTCCAGTGTGGCTATAATTCCCTATATTATAACCACTTATATATGTGTATGCCTTATATATGTTAATGTTATTGCATAGGTTTTACATATTAAGCATATATTTAATTCAGAGGCAAAAGTAATTTCCTATTTTTTTAATTAAAGTAATAATTAAGGGAGATAGATATTCAAATATATGTTTTTTTAATTCACTTTAGACAGACATAACAATCCATGGCTGCAATTTGTTTAGTTATTTTTGTTAAAAATTTAATAGCAAAATCAGGATTATATTTAAAATAAAGTCACATCTCTTGTCCTCTTTTACTCTCCTCTTAATTCTTCTGCTATACATGTTTAGAGAAGATTTGTCCTAGGTTTGGAACCATATTTTTAAAATCATTAGTAGAACCTGCTAAACTCTAATAAATCTGGCAGGTACATCTAACACACTAGCAATAATTACAGGAATATTGGTTATCCACCATCACAGTTTCTAGTCCTTGGGTGATGATTTTCTTAGAAGCTGAGGTTACCCTTATATATAGCTTTCATCCTACTCTATTATCTGAAACAGTTTTTTCCCTCAAGATTGTCAAAATTTAAGAAACCAAAGATCAGGATTTTCAGAAGTGAATATCAGTACAAGTTTGATGTTGACCATATCTTACTTTTGCTCAAGTCCCAGTAACAGAAATCTTGCTGGTGATCAAATCAGTGCTTTGCATTCAAGCATCACTACCCTTTTTCCCTTTCATGCTAGAGAGCCCACTCTCATTCCCTCCATATGATTTCAGCTTCTGTGGAACTGGGACCTGTCATCTTTCTTTTTCACTTAATGCTTTCCAAGAAATGGATGTTTCCCCTGCTACTTGGCACCCAGACTAACTTTTCCTCTCTTTTTGACATCTCCTTTAATTGTCTGGCCTGTGAAGTTTGCAGTCTCTGAGTTCAGCTACTCCTTTGTCTGTTCCACTGCCAAATCATGGGATATGTTTCTATGGTGGCTAACTATTGTTTGCTGTATCTATTGCAAAGAATAGACAGTGAGCAAAACTTTGTGCAGCACGGAAGAATTGTGTCTCCTCACTAATTTTACAAACATTAATCATGTGCCAAACATGTTACAAAATTATTCTGTGCAAGAGGACACAGAGCTGAACAACCCAAGGCCTCTACTCTCTTGATGTTTTCCAAGTTCTAGTAATTTAGAGAAGAAAAGAAATAGAGACAGACAAACTTCAAATTGAGAATTTGGATGCAGGGAAAAAATGGCAACCTTGCACCATACAAGCATCTCTTAATTGAGATGGTGAAAACTGATTGCCAATATTCTTGTTTCAGCAAAGTAACCATTTTTAACATGTATGACAGTGCGTCTTAAAGCTATTTGAATATTTTATTGTCCTTTGATATCATTTTATAAAAATGAGTATAGAAAGGAAATGTAAAAGTGCTAATTCTTTGATGATTATTTGAGAGAAATATGGACATCATTAAGTACTTTAAAGTTAGTAAATTTTTGTCATTTGTTATCATTTTGACATTTATTGATCAGAAATTGATTGAATATGTTTGAAGGAAAAGAAAAGACTAAAACTTGAAAACACGTCACTGAAGATCGTAGCAGAGGATTGGTAGTAGTGGAAGGATTAAAGAAATCTTTAAAATTACGAAATTAAAAAACAACTTTAGACGTAGGGTTTGTATGTCTGTTGAACATTTTATTTGGGAACAAAATATTTCTGCCTTTTTTATTAGTAGAAAAAAGTTCACATTTATTTTAAATGATGCGTCCTATTTATGTGAAGCTGTCAAAATCAGCCTCACAATATCTTAGTGACTCCCTTCTTCACTCACTTACAAGAGTCTTCATCATCAAGTTCTTCTTTTGATGCTTAAACCAAATTATTTTCTGGTAACTATTTTGATGGTTAAACCAAATAAGCATAACTTCAGGTAAGCTAAGAAGAAATTTAGGCAAAAAAATTATTTAGAAATGTGTTTTATTGTTTCACTCATATTTCAACAATCATTTATTCATTGTGTAATTCTTGGGAAAATATGCATTTTACATGTTAAAGATTTCATAGTATTTTTAGTCCCTTGGAAATATCTAACCCATAACATATGTCTCTTACTTGCCTGTTTATATTTACCTTTCAGACAAGTTTTCATTAAAGGTTGAAAATTCTGGTGTTACAAGTAAAAATATTTTATAAAAAGTTTAAAGTGTTACACAAATTTTGGCTGTTCATAAGTATTTTTAAATAGAAACTAAAATGAAAATATGACTTGATCAAGGCCATTTAGATAATATTCTGGACTTGCATCCCCATGTCAAACTTGTTATATCTGTAAGTTCGTTGGGTAATTATATGAGAAAATATACACTGCTTTTAGAGAATGCAAATATATTTTATCTCTTTATATAATCTATGTCATTCATACACACAGAGAGAGAGAGAGAGAGAGAGAGAGAGAGAGAGAGAGAGAGAGAGAAACACACATACCAGCCAAGCACAAGGAAATACAATCCAATCCAGCAAGAATCTAAATGTTATCTCTTTTTACACAGAAATAAATCTTTTCCTTTTTCCACCCCCTCAGATATATTCTGAAGTTATGATGAAGGGATCTAAATGTTCCTTCACCACAGTTGAGATCAAAGAGAAGGTAATTATTCTTCCGCTCACTCCTGACTCCAGGCCACTTCCCTTATCACAGCACATATATACCCACAGGGCTGAAGTGATGCTAGGAACTTCTGCTCACACAGCCCACCTGCACCCTCCCTTCCTCCAATATTGCTGTGCTGGACTCTGAGTCATGATAAAGGATACAAACATGTGATCTAGAAGACATGTTTCACTATTTGTACTTGGGAGTTGCCTCTCTCATCATACAAAAGGAAAGTCCCATAGTTTCTGCTGTTATACTTTGCTCTTTCACTTCACCTTCTTCAGGCTGTATGGGTTCAGGATTATTTTGGTATTTTCCAGCTCAGCTCTCATATTGTAATGTCTCAGAGGGAGGACAAAATATCTTCTTCCCACTCTTCTGCCTGTTGGCTTGTGCTTGTATTGGCTTAACGTCTTAAGATATTAAATTGTCATGTTTACATGAAACACATTTGATCTTTCTTTTCTACGTTTATCAACTAAACTCTGTTTTCTAGAGTGGATCTGAGACTAAGAAGATAGTTCTGTATTCCTCATAAAGGATTCTGGTATTTATTTATTACTTTTTAATCTTTTTTTTCAACTTATATTTTAGAATCAGGGAGTACATGTGCACGTTTGATTAGTATATATTTAAATATATGTGGCTATATTGATGTTTTGGATCATGTGAATTCATTATTGAAAACTGAGATATCTGCAGTTCCGTAGCTTAATTATGAGGATGAAGAACAGGGTCTCTACATCAAAATGACTCTATTGTTTGTTATAGAAATTTTTTACCAAGAAGATAAAGCAGTAAAAATGGTAAATAATGTTCTTGCTAGCCTCAGGAACTCCCTCACATTCCATTTACCCAAACAATAAACTGTTAAACCAGTTTTTTTCGTTGGGATACAATTTGCACCTCAGGTAAAGAGCCCTGCTTAGGACATTAGATCACTTTACTGAACTAACTTGCTTCCTTATCAACTATTTACCCATAAAGACTATATCATCACTGTGTTCATCAATGATAAATAAACTATTATAATACAAAGTTTGGCCAAATCAATTACATCCACACATGGAAAGACCCACCTTAAAATATTCCAACCCAAAACCCCTACACCCTATGATTATCCACTCTTGATCTCTCTTATCTGAGCAACTATTAAGACCACAATAATAAACTAGACTTTGCTTGATTAACAGGTTATTCTAATGTGTTAAGGAGGAAAATAAATCAATTTATTTATGGGGTCATGTGAATTGGTATTACAAGCCACTATTCTCAAGCTGCTCATAAATAATGACATTCGGCGGATTTTTGCATTCTAAAATTTGAATCAAAATGTTTAAGAATGGGGGGAAAATCAGGCCCCAAACGGAAAAACTTCCTCTGGCCCAGAACTCCCAGACAGTCTTATGTGATATTGGTTTTATCTTGTTTTTCAAGAGCATATAACAAATTATGGGAATTTAGGCAAGATTTTGCAAAAGTATGGTCTAAATAATAGATTCTGTGGAGCCTAACTGAATCAAAATAAATTTTGGCAGAGTGTAAAATCACAGCTTCTCTTTTTCATTAAAGAAAATCATGCCAAGAGAAGAAAAATGACCCTTCGAAATCCTTTCCTGACGTACTAATGTTTTATGTTCAGCTTGTGGACACTGACCACTCATTGAATTAGCAAATCTGACCACTACGCTAAGCTTTATCTCCATTAGATTTTGAAGACATAAAAAGATAGTTTGACAGTCTGCTAGTTTATTATTCATTTGTATCAGCCTGAGGTTCTTTACATAGACTCTGATATTATAAACAAACACCACAGCAATATCAATTTCTCCCTCAATATTTCAGCTCTTTGAGTATTTTGTTTCTTGTACTCTCCTGGAGGCTTATTGTTTCTCTAGGTAACAAAAATGCATTTGAACTCTCTCTCTTTCTCTCTCTCTCTCTCTCTCTCTGTGTGTATGTGTGTCTGTGTGTGTGTGTGTGTGTGTGTGTATTCTCTCTAATAGGCTAGAATCCTGTGTTCTCCAAATCTAAAAATCTGTATTAGGGATGCTCTTGTGTTGTGAATAATAGGAAGCAGCTTTCTTGTTTGCTTATTTGATTTTGTTTTTAGATGTTCTTTTATGTTAGGTAAACACTAGCCCCATGCTCAGTTCTGTCTTTTAAAAATATCTATTTCCTTTGGTCTTTTTTGAGTAATTTTCCTTGCCAAAGAAAATTAAATTATTTCTATTTCTCTTCCATCTTCTCTGGAAAAGTAAAATAATCTGAGGGTGGAGACTCAAGCAGAATATATTATTAACTTTGTCTAGATCACCACTAATTTAATTATTTAGTAAATTGCTACAAATATTTAGACTTATTAATGAGTTATATATTGATCAGTTTATATAAGTGGTATGTTTTGTTGTTTTGCTAGAATAATATTGTGGTCTCAAAATCTGTTGCTAGGAATGCACGGTTTCTACCATCTGCTTCCGTCTTCTGCTTGTAAAAACATGATCAAGTCTGGTTGTGTGTGAGTGTGTGTGAGTGTCTGTGTGTGTGTATGTGTGTGTCCCTGTGACCGTATGTAAGTGTGTCTGCATGTATTTATTCTAGAGGGAGAAGGGAAAGGTAAGGTTAAAGGCTGTATTCTAAATTTTATAAACCAATATCAATAATACAAAATGAAAACAGTTTAAAATTATTTTCACACATATTCGCTCCATTTTACTGAACACATTCTGAAATGATATTCAAAGGAAGAAGATAAAGCACTGGGATATATCAGTTCTTCCCACTTGCTAATTAAATTTTAGAACTTTACTCCATGTACATGGTAGTATGTTCCTTTTGGAATCACCATTAATAAAACCCAAATAAGCAAACCCCAATATTTTTAGGGCTACATAAAGAGGTTTATGTTCTCTCCATAGTTACCTGTCGCTTTATGCTCCAACCTTCTGCTGAACTCAATTTGAGATCAGGTCCTGGTATTTTGTCAATGCTATGTCAAATTTGCCTACAGAGGCTAATTTTTGCCATCTCTACTTATTTAATTATTTACTTGACAGACTTTCCCCTTGATTTCTACTGAGTATTCAAATGCAAAAATAAAGTTTATGATATCGCAAATTTTGTTGAATTAGGCAATTTCATTTTCTTTTAACCCAATAGAAGTCTAGGTATAACGGCATAAGTAATCTTTTGCAGGTAGAGCCTTACCTACACATTTAAGTATTAACACTTGTTATGCTATATTGAAAGAGAATCTGAAGAAATACTAAATACCAAATATGGATATCAGGAACATACAGTTGTCCGTAAATAGATTATCTCTGTTGCATTTACAACTGATGACAAATTAATGAACAATGATAATCCTGTTATGTTGCTTTTATCCAAACACATCTGTATTTCTAGAGTTGTTACACATATAGATTGCTTAGTGTTCATATTAAGCATTACTTCATTCAACACATTTTTCAATTTGTGAAGAAGAACATGGAAATAAGGGGACTAATTAACATTTATTATCGTGCACTTCCATATGTCACAGGTACTGTACTTCACATATCTTAAATATTTTAATCTAGAGGATCAACTTATGTGGTACATGCTGTCTGATTCTGATTTCACAAATGAGGCAGATTAAAAGAGATAGCTAATTTCCCAGATGTCACAAAGCTAATTGGTTTGTTTAAGAACCAGAATTTGAGCCAAGTTCTGTGTATTTTGTGATTATCTTCTTTCCATCATTTTCTATATTTTGCAATAGATGTGAGGAAGAATGATTAGCCAGTTAACATGTCTGTTGTTTTTTCTGGATATATAAATGAAACATAACCTTCAAACCTTGGACCCAGAAAGGGTCATGCACTGTAATTATTTGTTGTTAAAGTCAGACAGGAAAATTATAAGGTCCACACTTAAGCTCCTAAATTCTGGCCTGCTCCATAACAGGATACTTATTCATTAGGTTATACAACTGAGAAGATCAGTAAATCCAGACGTATGTATGCCTTGGCCCCTAAGATTTCATGATTGCAAAATGTAGCTAATTCTCAGAGGCGCACCTCAATCAGAGTGCAGTAGATGCGGTACTTCTGCAGGGAAGTTCATAGGCTTATTAGTCCTTCATCGGAGACTCATTGTACCTTTGGACTCATTCCCAAAATACAATGAATAAAGGGGTAAAATTTAACAAGAACCGGCTTGAGAGGCAGATCATTTAACCAGGGAGAGATTCCTGGGGAAATTGTGAGATTGCAGTAAATTGATGCCACTGGGTGACAAGAATGTTTTTGGATTACATCACTTTGATGTGAGAAAGAATCTTTAAATGAGCTGACCAAGAAAAGAACTAAGTGAAGATTTCTGTGGCTTGGGAAAAAGTTATAAGACAAGCTTCTGCAGTGAAATTGATGAGCATTCAGTCTTTAGGTGTTTTACACTAGTTTAAAATATATCATATCTATCTGAGTTATCTCCTGATCATTGTAAGAGAGATTTTAAGAAGCAACTCAAAACACCATTTTCAACAGGCAGCTGATACTCAACAATTGCTATGGAGAGTGTTGGCCCTTGCTCTGACTGGACTATGTGTACAAGGCTCATGGAGAACATTGAGAATTTCCAATTGGCCTTAATTGTGCGTTAGAATCTGCCAGTTGGCTAACTTTGTCGTCTTAGTGTCCACTCTGAAGACACTTTTGGAAACTCTATTGATAATGACTATCTTCTCATTCATTTTCACAATGAGTTAAGAAAATTGTGGAATTTCTAAGAAAAATGAGAAGCCTGATAAAGCCTCACCTTGATGAAAAATGAATCAAGAGTTCACAATTGTATCTCATAGCCAAGCTAGGGTCAAAGAGATTCTGTATCAGATAGCATATATAATTATACTAGTTGTTTATAAACAAATTTGGAACAATAGTAATCATAGTATACTTCTGGCCTGCCTTTTAACCTGTTTTTCTTCTCATTCATATACATTTATTTTGGACAGGTGGATAATGTTAGGATATTTCTCTGGAACTCTTGGCAAATCATTTTCCTCACTTGGACTCAGTTCCTTTTTTCTTGGGCTGAGGAAATTAAGATACAGCATGTCTAAGTTTTCTTCTAGTTATAAAAGTTCTGTGGTTTTGTTATTATATAAGTTGAAAAATTAAATCATTATATGTCTTCTTATTTGGACTATCTATAAATATGTGAAAAAGGTTAGCACTGTTTATTTGTTTTTCTGAGTTGTCATAATGTTTTACATATAGTGGAAACACAATGGCTATATTTTTGGAATTGAATTGAATGTCATTTTCTAGGGAAGAAAATCTTATTGGAAATCCATTACATTCAATGGAGTCTGGGCTAAAAGCCAAAGAGCAAGCATCTTCCCATTTCCTTTCAGTCCCAATCTCTCTTTCTCTCTCATACACGCATACTCACACACCCCTCAAAAAGTTCTCTATGGTGTCTTATCACTGTATCACTACATACTGTTCAAAGACCCTGATTATGCCACCCTGGTCAGACTTGCCAATCGCTCAATTATTTTTTTTCTAGAATTCCTTGCTCCATTCTCTTCTCTCTGTAAATATTACCAAATAAATTTGCACAAGAAAGAGAGGGAAGAATGGCGCTCAATTAGTCAATGGTATGGAATGAATAATGATTCTTTAACCTCCTAAACATTTTTAATTTTAGAAAGAAAGCTTGTTAACCTCAGAGAACGTGTGATTGGTGATGATTCTGCTACATCACAAGATAAATTGACAAATGCATTCGAATATACAAAACTTGGAGGGTAGTTTGAGTGTGCATGTTTGGAGATAGTTTCACTATTGTGATTCTTTCATAGGGATTATTTACCAACCTCATTTCCAACTCCTTCTTTCTTTCAAATGTTAATTCACACAACCTAAGGGTCCAAAGTTTCATTATGCTCTTCAAATTCAAAGTGATACAATGTTAGAACACCATCACCTGGATGGGGAGAATGTTTTTAAGTACTTGTTTTCATCAGTCATTTTTAAAAAGTAAATGTGAAAAGCTTCTGTGTATAGAAGAAGAATCCCTATAAAACACAAATATTATCAAGTAGAGACATTTTAAAATGTTTTATCATGCTCCAGTGCAGTAAATTTCTTATTTCATTTTTTACAATAAAGCTATCTATCAAGATTAAATATTGATAATGTAAAAATAGAAGCATTACCATTCAGTGAAATAAACCAAATAATAATGAATTACAAAAATTATTTGAAGTGTAAGCAACATCTACTTCAAAATATGACAGCACAAATAAAACTAAAGCAATAGGCATCTGCAACCTAAATTATTAAATTGCATATAAAATAAAATGAGGTTTAAATATGCCAAGGATGGCATATGGAACATTTAAAGTGCTAAAGAAAAATAATACACTTGATATTGGTGCTATTTTACCAGATACAAACCAAAACACAGTATTACCACCTAATCTATTTTAAAAGCCCAGAGTCCCGACAGTATACCATGGGTAAGTCAAAATTTTGAAAAGTCATGCCATATGCCTTTAAGTTTTTTAAAAATATTGTAGATTATTTTCTTAAATTGCAATTGTTTTGTGAGAGAGTGTTTTAATATTGGCTAGATTTACATAAAAATGTAGGAATATGATGCACTGGAAAGACCACAGAACATCAAATCTTGTACATTGTTTTCAAGTCACCATTTAAATGGTGACGAAAGTTCAAACTTTAAAGTCACTTAAACTTTTCATGCCTCATTTTTCTTATCTGTAAAACAAAAAATAATTGGTCTAGATAATTTATAAAGTCTCTCCTAGCTCAAAATGTTATTGATAACAACATCACTTTAAGATGACTCAGAAGGACATGCTATTTTATAGAAGATCTAGACACTAAGTCATTGAAATACCTTCCAAACCGGGAAACATGATTCAGAGCCTAAATATGAGGTTTAATACATATTTCTGGATTTTTCTGTAGGGCTTAAATAGTCAGAATTTGTAATTAGTACATTAAAATGCATTAGAAATATTTTCAATAATCCCAACTCTCCAAGCCAGTGGAGATTAGAATTATCTGGGAAGCTTATTAGAAATGCCGATTGATTGTTGAATCTCTGCTTTAGAAATTCTGATTTGGCAAGTGTTTGGAGAAGACAAAGTATTTGCATTTTAACAATTCTCTTCAGGAATTTGAATCCACATAGTACATGGACAAGACCTCAATAAACATTCTGCTAATCTATTGCTAGGTCAGCATCTGTATAAATTTATAAGGGAAGGATATTGAATCATCATAGAACCATCATTTACATTAAATTTTGTTGTAATCTCTATCTGAGTATTGATCTTCACCTGAATCTGAACACGCTAATGCCTTGTGATGAGTCAGGGAAAGAAAATGATAGCTATCAT
Organism: Homo sapiens; assembly: GCF_000001405.40. Taxonomy (NCBI): domain Eukaryota; kingdom Metazoa; phylum Chordata; class Mammalia; order Primates; family Hominidae; genus Homo; species Homo sapiens. The sequence goes on along the minus strand of NC_000002.12, from coordinate 51,290,445 downwards.
TTCTGAACTTGTCCTTCTGTCCTTACCTAAAATCTAAATCCCCAAAAACATTCTTCTGAGTATCACACAGTGATATGGTGTGGCTCTGTGTCCTCACCCAAATATCATTGCAAATTATAATCTCCACATGTTGAGGAAGGGACCTGGCGCGAGGTCATAAGATCATGGGGGTGGTTTTCCCATTGCTCTTCTCATGATAGTGAGTTCTCACAAGATCTAATGGTTGGAAGATGTTTGACAGTTCCCCCCGCTTGCTATCTATCTCTCCTGCCGCCATGTAAAGAAGGTTCTTGCTTCCCCTTTGCCTTCCACCATGCTTGTAAGTTTCCTGACGCCTCCTCACCGATGTGGAACTGTAAGTTAATTAAAGCTTTTTTTCTTCATAAATTACCCCATCTCAGGTAGTTCTTTATAGCAGTGTGAAAACAGACAAATACACCTAGTTTCTGACCCCATCTGTGTACTAGATCAAATTCTAATTTTTTCTGTGCTGTGTGAGAAAAAGAATCAGGATTTGAGAGTGAATCCTAGCTGCAGGCTAAGTGGTATAAAAATATGCAAATAGAACATGTGTTGTGACCTTTTTCTGGATTCAGGATTGTCGAGTTCTCTTGGACTTGGACAGTGTCACCCATCAGTAATAGCTGTAAGATAAGGTTTTCATATAGAACAGTGACAGAGATGGTGAACAGTTCAAGTCACTGGATCAAGCAGAACATTCCAAAAGTTTTTTATTGAGTATTGTAGAAATAGGAAGCACTGTATGACCTCTGTGGTAGGAAAACTTTGAATTGGCCCCCCAAGATTACCTCTCCTTGATGCACATATATCTTTAGTTAGTTACATAACCAAACATTAACCTAAGTACTGCAGTGAAGATATTGGAAGATGACATTAAGTTTCCAAACCAACTGAGATTAACATGGGAAGATTATCATGGGTAAGTCTGCTCTAATCAAGTGAGCCCTTAAAACAGAAGTGTGGAGGAATTCAACACTGAAGATGAGGTGGCTACATGGCCAGAAAATGCAAGTGGGCTTGAGCAACTGAGAGCACCACTTGACTGTCCATGAAAAAAATGGGTACCTTAGCTTTATAGCTGTAAGGAACTGAATGAGGTTAAAAGAAGACTTTCCTTCAGTCAAGCCTACAGATAAAAACCCAGTCACACTGGGCCCAGACTTCTGACCTACAGAACTTTGAACTATCAAACTTGTGTTGTTTTAAACTGCAAACTGTGGGGTAAAGTTTTACAGAAGAAATACAAAAGTGAATGCACCTGTCATTCAGTGTTCCATCTTGTTATCCCTCAAGGGCTGCAAATTCGTGACAAACTTTCAAGTTACAAGTTTGATATTTCAGTATAAGGTTAGTGATAATTGTCTTTTACCACCCTCTACATTTTTGACATTTTTAACTATCCAGAGTGACTATATTAAATCTCTTTTGGAGTTAATAGTTAATTAACCACAATGGCTTATCATTAGATTACTTATTGGTATTTATTAATTACTTATCTATTTATACGTAAGATTTTACTTAACATTTACAACATCCTAGTGAAAAAAAAATCCCCATCATACTGAAATACTGAGAGGATAAGTGAATTGAGTTTCACAATCTCACAACAAGTTAATGAAAGAATTTGTGTTCAATATATATCTCTTAACTCCAAATTCAAGTCTCTTTGTACTTTTTCACAGCTGGGCACACCCTAGCTCTTTCAGAGCTGGAGTAGCAGAGATATCTTATTGACCTGTTTGAGAAAAGATGATTGAGGAGTAATACATGAGGCTTTTTTCGTGTGCATTGGAAATTTATGTAAAGAAGAAATTCTGAATTTAGTTTGTATTCATTGATAATCTTGGACTTAGTGCAGAAGCTTGCTAACAAAGCAAATTAAAAGAGTTCATTCTTTCATGCCTTCTCACCTCATTCTGTTCTCTGGTTTACTACAACCAACCCCCTACGACAAAATGTAGATACACAGACACAGTAGACTACCCTGATTTTCTCAGGCTTTACTGCCTCAGAATTTACCCTCATGTGTTTTCCAAAAGTGGAAGGAGCCGCACTCCCTCAGCACATCTCAAGTGCTTTACAGTACGATCTTGAAGCAGGGTTAAGCAGAGGGCATTGGACATAGCCCACCAAGGTTTGATCCAGCTCTGAAGCTTAAAATCTCAGAAAACTTTGTCAAGTTATTTAAATTCTCTCTCCTTCATTTTCTTCCTCTAAATAATAGAATGGTAATAATATCTACTGGCTAAAGTTATTAGCAGTATTAAATGATTTAATACATATAAGGCAAAAAACTGACTTGCATGTAATTAATACTAGATATATGTCAGCTATCATCATCATCATTATCTTTATTCATATCTAGAGCTCATGAAAAAGCTTAATCACTTATTTATATGTTTAATGCACTAATCCTTTTAACGCTCTTCAGAGCTTGAAATAGAAATTATTTCAGTTGAAAAGAATGAATCTCTAATACTGTGATTTTACTAACCCATTGAGAACTATCCATGAAGTGGAGGTTATTTTATTTCAACCTCCATCACCTTGTAAGTTTGATAGTATATATGTAAAGTTAAACATAAATTGCAAAGCTATACTTAAATAATCATGTTTATTACAATCTATATTGTGGTTCATATTACTGTGGGGCAGAACTTACTGATATCTTTTGACTCCCACACTACAACTACCTATTTCATCCAGGCCAACCTACCTGGGCAAAATATGTGGACATAATAAGCATGTGATGTACATAACAAGTTCTTATCACTGTATGAACAGGGATTTATTTATAAGTTTGTTAGTATTTACAGAACTAGCAACTTCAAGTTCAAAATAAGGATCAAGTACAGTGACAGTTTCCAATAATTGCACCATGTAATGTGGGAATATGTATAATTACATGCTTGGTATTAGCCAATAAAAGTGCTCTCTAGTCTGGATAGGTCATCCTTGTGGTTTAGTGCATACTTCCTTGTGGAATAGTGGAGAAGGAATATGAAATCCCCTCATAACTAAATCAGATAAATGAAACCTCTTTGTTTTAAAGGCTCTTGTAGCTCCATAATGCTGATAACCACAGAGTTTACACAGGTATAAAGAGGTCCAAAAACATAATGTTCACATTGTGTGTACCAAAGAAAAGGCATACACAGTGGTTTCATTATGACAACAAATTGTTACAGGTAATTATAAATGCTAAATTGGGTGCAAGCTAATACCACAAAACTACCTCATAGATTGGCATAGTATTACATTGATTTAATAATTTCATTTTACTTTGTGTTAGAGACAAAGAAGCCATTGACTTAAAAACATTGTCACTGGAGGCTTTGAGAGATGAAATCCTTTGGATGCATCTCAACTCTATTCATTTTCTCTATTCTAATTGCAGCTATTTTAGTTAAGCATCAAACTTTGCTTTGCATTAAAATCTCCTGGAGGGCTTGTTAATACACAGATCTGTAGTTTCAATTTAGTATGTCTGGGTGGGGTCTGAAAATTTCTATTTCCAGCAAGTTTTTAGATGATGTTAATGCTGTACATTCAGGGACCACACTGAAAAACATTGATTTAGGCCTTCAGCTATCCATCTTCTGATTCTTGCACTAGCCTTGGAAATACTCTACTTCCCTCCAGTGTTTCTTCTTCTACTCCATTCTCTCCACTGCCTTAGACTACCTTTTCTAAAATTCAGTCCAGCAAAACCATTTCCTATTTACACCTTTTGATAATTCCCTCCATTTCCTAAAGGGTAATTTTTAAGCTTCCTACCAAAACACTACTTAACACTCTAATCTTGTTTATTATAACTTTTTCTTTTGGCCTGTGGTATTCAACCAAACTGAATTACCTCTAGTCCTCAGGCATGTCACACTGTCTATTTCCTAGGTTTTCATACATGCTATTCCCTCTCCTAACTCTACTCAACTCCCCAACTCAAGCCCCACCCCCATATCAGAAATGGACTGATATCTATTTGCTATTCAGAACTCAGCTTAGCTATCAATTCTGGAAAGCCTTCGGGGATCATTTCTCCTGTGTATTAGAATGTGCCTCCACTATGTTCCATCAGAACATAAATTGCATATTGCAATTGTCCATCTATCTCAACAAACAGAAAGCTCCTGAGTCCATGATTGAGTTGGTTTGTCTTTTTCCTACCAGTACCCAGTGAGGGTCAGGCACATAGTAGATGTTAAATAAATCTTTGTTTAGTGAGTAAATTAACATTTTGAAAACTATCTCTCTGCTCTGAATTATTCCAAGATTCTTGAGATTTTCTTCAACATCTCAGAATCCCATTTTACCAAAGTAAGTCTTTTATACACTTGTTTTCCTCTATGAGGCTGGCATGCTATCTTTAGTTCTTCCAGTCCGTGCAAGGCTTCAGGAATTCTAATAAGGCCCAGGGTAGACGAGATTTTGAAAGAATTGGGTGGGTGATATAATGTTATGGTGTCAGTGAAATGAGATCTCTCCCTGTTATAAGATGGACTGAGCAAAAAGAACAAACTGCTGAAGATGTGAGGAAAAAACAAAAATGACACAAGTTTATGCAGTCTTCAGAAGCACGTTTCAATGGTCTTCCAAATCTTGAGTACTTTAATTTCTTCATCTGTTGATTAGTCCCTTGAGAAAGTTGCTTTTTTCTACTGAGGAGCTGAGTACCTGTTAAGGTTTAAAAGTACTAGTTGTACTAGTAACTAGTTTACTTATGTCTAAAAGTTGTCCAACAAAATATCCTTTTTTGTTTGTTTGTATTGACTAGTACTTCTGGCTTTCTGACACTTAATTAAAAACAAAGGATATGTAATTTTAGAACTAGAAACAAAGGTCAACTGTTTTAGATGAACATATTCTAAACGAGAACTAACTGAAGGCTTAAAATGGTGTTTTACTGAAAGCTTATGACAAAATCAAATGTGAGTTCACATTTAGAAAACAATCGTGCCTCTGAGTCTAGACAGAGAACAAATAATCACATAAGGTATTACTGTGAAAGAGACATTTGCTTTTATTGCATTTAACTCTGTCTATAAAAGACCAATAGCTCTCCTACTTAAATGTCATGGAAGTAAGCATGTCATTTATTAAGAGAGCCCTTACATGATTCTACCTGCCCACTATGAACATTACCAAACCTTGTGTACAGATTGAAAAATCAGTGTAAACACAATTTTCTAAAGAAAAATGTGATGACATTACATGTGAGAAGTATGAGTCCATGTGACTCACCTGAAGAAGATGAGATATTTTTAGATTTCTAATGGATTGTTCAAGCATTAGGATTGCTATATTCTGAATTTGTTCAAAGGATTTTGCAGGCTCCCCTCTGCATACAAACTGGCTGTGAACTATGAAGCTGTAATATCATACCAGCTTTCACCCTTTATTAATTTTTTTTTTGGTATGAGGTGCCAGATCCTTGTTTACCAAACATCAGCTTCTTTTTGCAAATGGCTTTCTATTATTCTTTATTATATTAATCTTTCTGAATTTTATAGAATACAGAAAATATAAAGTAGAAAAAATAATTATCTTCCTTACTAGACTTTGTAGCTCAAGTAAAAGACATCTAAGTATCTTTTCAGTCATCTAGAAAATTATCAGCATCCAATCTAATTGCCTGAATTTTGAATTTCCAGTATCGTGGCTTCTAAAAGGTTTATGCATACATACGACTCATCCAATTAACTTTATTTTAGAACACGGTATTTTCAAGATGTTCTGAATTTGAATTCCCTAGGTCATCTTGACTTGGTGTTTTTTTCTGTCCTAAATCTTTGTCAGTAGGAGAAAAAACTTTGGTAATAAAAATAAAATACAATAAAATAAGTCTTTTGATAGTAGCAGGTTTAAAAAGGATTAAAAGGTTTTTATTGGAATCTCTATTCATTAGCTGCATTAGGAGAAGACACTAAAAAAATCGATGTTTGACTTTTACTTTAACCTTAAAATGTCATTAAATTCCACACATGAAAAGGTTGATGCAAACACCCTTTTTACTTAATTGACAACACTTCCATTCTCTGTAGCATTTTGTAAAAGAAAGGAAACCTACGTGAAAGGTGTAAGAAAGGTCAAAATGCAACTTCAAATATTTATTGTTTAGATGGGAGGTCTTTATGGGTGCAGACAGATTCAATAATTAATTTTTCCACTTTCTCTATTAAACTTATCATTATTTTTCCAGGACATTCACATGAATACTTCTCTAGATTAAGCTGCATAATTCATATTCGGGCATTAAGACACAGCACTGCCATTAATGGTTACCCGGTAACCTTTTACCTGTTCTTATCACCACACTACCAATGAGGAAGAGGGGATAATATTTGTCTTGTGTTGTCTTTGTTCTTAATATGTTTTATCATCACAGTTGTTCATCATTGTTATACTAGGCAGACAGTTAAATAATGCAGAAGAGAAACTTAGTTTGTGAACAGAGTATTGACTAAAATTAATCACATTTCCATGCTTAGTAAAGGATACAACTTAATCCTTATAGCTGTGAAAAAATAAATTCAACCTTTAGAGGTGTCTACTAAAAAAGAATTCAATACTCCACTTCCCATTGATAACACGTGACTGCTGCTGAGCAAATAGCCACTAAGTTCAATCTTTGTCTTCGTAGTGTTAGATTGTAGGGCAATTTTAAAATTTCAATAGGGCATTTTTGAAATCTAACTCAAAAAGGTTTGTTGGCAACATATTGCAAGGACACGTTTATATTCTAAAAATACACTTCCCTATTTTTTTGTTGGAATGTCAGAAGATAGACTATGATACCGAGTTCCCTTTTCAATGTGCTAAAAGCTAAATTTTGCCATTTACCAAATCTGCAAATATCCTGCGAAACTGTAGTTGGCATTTGTAACAGCGTTTTTCTGCTTGCCAAATTCGTGAACATGTAAGACATTTTATACCTTGTAAGAATGCATAGATAAAAGAAGACAGATTTTTTTTCCCAAAGTCTGTGATGTCCTCTGAGAGTATGAAAAGCTTGAAATGGAAGACAGGAATAAAAATCATGGGGTTTGTGATCAGGCAGTTCTGGTTTCAAAACCTCCCTCTATTGTTTTTTGTAAACCTTGCCAAGTTATTTAGTCCTCTAAACGTTGGTTATCTCACCTGTAGAAGGGTAAAAATGTTCTCCTCAAAAGTGATGAGGATTACTAGAAATAATTGTGTGAATATTACAACATGCAATACACACCACAAAATCCCAACTGGTAATAATAGATGCCCAATAAATAATGAGTTTGTGTATAATACCTAATAGTCACACTAATATGAAAATATTTGTTAAGTTGAAAAGATATACTGTTAGACAAATGGATATAGAACAGATCATTTTGATGGCAGCGGAGAAAGAAGATTACTAGGCCCCTTGATAGGACTTGGTAGACAGCTTGAAGGTATGGGATATTTGCAGAGAGGCTCTGACAAAAGGTGAAGGATAATTGAAAGATATGAAAGGGAGACTATACATGTTTTTATTTTGCCTCTTGTAAGAGCAACAATATCTATAAGCAAAAAGTATAAAACAGGGACTCGTTTTTTTATTAGTTCATAGTAAAAGAATCTTCTGCAGAATGTTTTCAATGAAAAATAAGGGCTGCAGAGTGGTTTTATGTCATGGGAAGTTGATAAAGATGGCTGTGGTATCTAGAATAGAGAATTTGATAGGCTTAAAATCTAGCCCTCACTGCAGGTAGGGAATAATAACAGGGAAGCCCCACAGAAACTAAAAACTATTACCAGAGATTGTCTACTTGCTTTTTCTTATGTTGTTGGATGGTACTTAAATATGCAAACTCCGCTCATAATTTAGTCCTAAATCTCTCTTTTCCTCTGAAAATACACATTGGGAAAACACAGTGGAAATGGGTTATTAATCAGTGTATTTCATTCTTTCAGGTCTTTCTTTATCCCAGGTTACTTATTAAAAAATAGAATTGTTGTGGGCAACCCAATATCTGGCTATGTCAGAAGAGTGTGCAACATCGCCTCCTGACCGAAGTTAATTGAAGTAAATTCCTTAAACACACTAGAAATTTAGAAAGCTAATTGTGGTAGGTAACAGAAAGAGAGAAAAAGAAAGCTCATTGAAATTCACAGGTTGTCAATACATACCACGGGAGATGAACAAAAGAGGAGAGGGCAGAGTAGCCCAGCTATCACTTTATATTACTTGCAACAAATAAATCAATTAAATATTTTTAAAATCAGTAATCACCATATTTCTTTCATTCTCTAATGCCAAACATTTTGCTTTTCTAAGCTGACTGTTCCATTGTTAGCTGAATTGGAAGTTTTAGTTAAATTGTAATTTGTTTTTATGTAATATATTGTAATCCTTTTGGAAGATTAAAATCAATTCATTTGATTTGTAGATTAGGTAAATACAAAAGCAGATGAAAACAGAAGAAATTATCCATATTCCATTGCCAAGAGTTATAACAACTGTTAATATAGATTAAAATGATTTAAAAGATACAGAAACCAAATTCAATTAATATTTTAAAAAGAAAAATAAGAGGAAAGAGAGGAGGCAGTAGATGAGATGTACACACTAGTAAGGGAAATGTGAACACTTACTGTTTCTGTGAGGCTACTAAAGACTTTATTTTGATTCCTGAGTGGAATTAATGGTATTTTGGTTATAGTTTAAAAGTAGGATCTATGTCTAAAAAAGGAAATACTGAATTTTACAGATGAAATGATATGATGTTTGGATTATTCTTGAAGATAACCCAGTGGCAGAAAGAAGTGGATGAGGTATAAAAGAAATATGATTGGTAATGAATTAATATTTATAGAGCCTGATAACATCCTGAATATCAGATTGCTTTTCAAAAGAGTTCTACTAGTTTACACCACCATCAGCTGAACTCATTTCAGAAGGCACACCCCCACCAGCAGGCAGTATTCTCATTTTTATAAATCCTCTTGAAATTTTCTGCATTTGATTTACCACACCCCACTCATCATAGCTAACCAAGCAAGTGCCAGGTTTGAAACCTTAGATTGAGGGAAGGGAAGAAAAGTATGGGTAACAAAGAAAAAAATTTTTGAAATCTCTATGGTTATAGAAAATATAAATTGGAACAGGATGAGAAGCTGGTACATCTCTGTGAGGTTTGAGTCTAGAATCTAAAGCATTGATATGCAGGGCCTTCAACATATGTTTGTAAAAATTGACAATTGCGGCCGGGCGCGGTGGCTCACGCCTGTAATCCCAGCACTTTGGGAGGCCAAGGCGGGTGGATCGTGAGGTCAGGAGATCGAGACCATCCTGGCTAACAAGGTGAAACCCCGTCTCTACTAAAAATACAAAAATTAGCCGGGCGCGGTGGCAGGCGCCTGTAGTCCCAGCTACTCGGGAGGCTGAGGCAGGAGAATGGCGTGAACCCGGGAAGCGGAGCTTGCAGTGAGCCGAGATTGCACCACTGCAGTCCGCAGTCCGGCCTGGGCGACAGAGCGAGACTCCGTCTCAAAAAAAAAAAAAAAAAAAAAAAAAAAAAAAAAAAAAATTGACAATTGCACAGTCCTATTATGTTTCAATCTTGTACTTTGCAATTTGTAGTTTTTAGGCTGAGAAGGGACAATGTGATAACTGTATTTTTTTGTTTTCCAGGACATTCTTTTTCAATATTCAACAACTTATAATCAAATTCCTCAGCACTTTCATATACTATTTGGCCTTGTCTGATGTTCACAAGCTAGTAAATTGCATGATATGCTAAAAAATAATTAAATTTCTTTGACAATAAGCGATCCCATTTTATTAAATATCTTACAATGGAAACAGTATTAAGGAGAGAAACTTATATTCATAGATATGAGGCATTTTTATCAGCATCCACAAAAGTATCACAAAGTCTGAAAAGTAATTTAGATTTCTTTTCACATTAGAAAATTTTTGTATGATTATGTGAAGTCTTATAAATATTTGTTGTATTTTTTAGAGAATAATTAACATATAGGTGAAGTGACTTGAAAGGTGAAATATTTTATATTATGTTAAGAAAATCCTTTTCAAAGTAACTTGTTACTTTTTATTTTGTGGCACACACCATCCTGGTTGTGGTTACAAACTGGCAGATATTCTCTATTTAAACTCACTCCATCCATGATGCTAAATTAACTATCATGTGAGCACATACAAAGAAAATGAATAGATTTAACTTTTATAAAAAGTGTGATTATCTCTATCAAAATGGAACCTTAGGAAATACTTGTAAATATCAAACTAATTTAACATTAGGGGGAAAACTTCCCTACAGGTAAAGTTTTGTTTACCTTGATAGTAAGGAGACTGTGTTAGACAGCCACTTGTCTTAATTGATTTAGCTGGAATCATAGCAAAAACACTTGGAGAGGAAAAAGAAAGTGAATCCTGTATCATTTAGATAATGTTCCTTTACCAGCATCATATATATGGCATTAGTTACAGAAGCATTGGATTATTAACATTGTCAGAATGTAATACCCATCCCACCACCTTTCACATCACTAAACAAATTCGGAAAGATGAAATTCTGATATGAGATAGGGTTAGAGCAAAACCTAGAATTCAAAGGTCAACATATTCCATATGATACTCTTTCCATGACATCTGGCTGAAGTAAATTGGTATTTCTTACATTAATACTAATGACTATAGTTCAGATTAAGAAAGTGTGTAGACATTGTCAAAATACTATGCTAGTTTATGGTTCATAACTATTACACAGAAAGACATTTGAAATTGGCCCATGCCTATGTCCTGAATGGAATTGCCTAGATTTTCTTCTAGGGTTTTTATGGTTTTGAGTTTTACATTTAAATCCATCTTGAGTTAATGTTTTATAAGGTGTAAGGAAGGGGTCCAGTTTCAGTTTTCCACATATGGCTAGCCAGTTTTCCCAGCACCATTTATTAAATAGGGAATCTTTTTCCTATTGCTTATTTTTGTCAGGTTTGTCGAAGATCAGACAGTTGTAGATGTGTGGTGTTATTTCTGAGGTCTCTGTTTTGTTCCAGTGGTCTATATACCTGTTTTGGTACTACCATTATGCTGTTTTGGTTACTGTAGCCTTGAAGTATAGTTTGAAGTCAGGTAGCGTGATGCCTCCAGCTTTATTCTTTTTTGCTTAGGATTGTCTTGGATATATGGGCTCTTTTTTGGTTCCATATGAAATTTAAAGTAGTTTTTTTTCTAATTCTGCAAAGAAAGTCACGGTAGCTTGATGGGAATAGCATTGAATCTATAAATTACTTTGGGCATTATGGCCATTTTCATGATATTAATTCTTCCTATCCCATAAGCATGGGATGTTTTTCCATTTGTTTGTGTCCTCTCTTATTTCCTTCAGCAGTGGTTTATAGTTCTCCTTGAAGAGGTCCTTCATGTCCCTTGTAAGTCATACTGCTAGGTATTTTATTCTCTTTATAGCAACTGTTAATGTGAGTCCACCCATGATTTGGCTCTCTGCTTGTCTATTGTTGGTGTATAGGAATGCTTGTGATTTTCGCACATTGATTTTGGATCCTGAGACTTTGCTGAAGTTGCTTATCAGCGTAAGGAGATTTGGGGCTGAGATGACAGGGTGTGCTAAATATACAATATGTCAACAATTTGACTTCTTCTAAATATACAATCATGTCGACAATTTGACTTCCTCTCTTCCTATTTGAATACGCTTTGTTTCTTTATCTTGCCTGATTGCCCTGGCCAGAATTGGAAGACATTTAATTCCCTCTGTGACACAAAATGAAGGTATAATAGACAAACAGAAGTCTTCCAGGCTCTAAAGACACAACAGCAAACAGACAAGTTTTCTGCCATCAAGAAGCTTATATTCCACTGAAGACCAGATAAGAAATCAATGCACATTTTCGCTGGGCATGGTAGGTTGCCGGGCACGGTGGCTCACGCCTGTAATCCCAGCACTTTGGGAGGCCGAGGTGGTGTTCAAGACCAGTTTGTCCAACACGGTGAGACCCTGTCTCTACTAAAAATACAAAAATTAGCTGGGCGTAGTGGCCAGCGCCTGTAATCCCAGCTACTCAGGAGGCTGAGGCAGGAGAATCGCTTGAAACCAGGAGGCAGAGGCTGCAGTGGGCTGAGGTCATGCCATTGCACTCCAGCCTGTGCAGCAGAGCAAGATTCCATCTCAAAACAAAAACAAAAACAAATCAATGCACATGTAAACAAGAAAAAATAGATAAATACTATATAGAGAATTAAAACAGAAAATATGATAGTGACTAGATGACTACCTTGCATTTGATGACAAGAGAAGGCCCCTGTGCAACCTTGTCTTTGAACTCAGGGTGATAAGAAGGTGCCATAAAGATCTGAGAAAGAGAATTCCAGGTAGAAGAAATAATTATTTCAAGCCCCACTGGCATACAATGGTTGAAGACTGGAGTATACGGAAGGGTATCCTCTGATGTAAAATCATAGAGATAGCAGAGATGATATAATGCAGAGCTGGAGGCTAGTTTGATTTTCATTGTAAATAAAATGAAATTCCACTGGAGGATTGTGAATTCATTTGAGGGCTACAAGGGAAGTGATTCTATATGTTTTACATTGTTTAAAAAAATCACTTTGGCAGTTATTTAAAGAACAGTATTTTCAAGAAGGGAAGGAGGTGAAAAGAGAAGAAGCAAGTGGACTTATTGGAGGCCTTTGCAATGTCAAGGCAAGAGATGGTGATTATTTGAATTAGAACATGTTAAAGGCAATAAAGAGAAGCACACAGATTGGAGACAGGGAGGAAAGTAGTATTTTCAAAGGACCGAACATGAAGGTTAGCTATAAAAAAAAATCTAGGGTAATTTTTAGGAGTTTGGCTTGAGAAACAGAATGAGTGTGAGGAGAAGATTCGAAATGAAAATTAAGAATTTTGGTTTGGCCACAATGTTTGACATATGATTAGATAACCAAGTGAAAAAGACAAATAGACAATTGGATATTGGAATTGGGCAGAGGAAATTTATAGTAATAAGTTACATAGTTGTATTTATGGACATGGAAACAGATTAGCAAAATCAGGTAAGGAGAGGTTGGAAATAGGAAGAAACCCAGGTAGGTGGGTTTTCCCTAAATTGAAAATAATGCAGTATTTTAATAAGGGAAAATTGGTCAACTGATTCAAATATTGCTAAGGGGGCAGTTGAGATAAAAATAGAGAAGTAACCGTTGGATTTAGGAGACATAAAGTTCAAAGATGTCTTTGATAACAAATCAGTAGAGTGGTGAGAATGCAAGCCCTATGGGAATTGTTTAGAGAAAAAATTCAAAGTGAATTAATGTTAGCAGCAACAAGAGATGCCTCTTTTAAAAAAATTAGCTGTTAAACTGTATTCATTTTCTATGCTGTTAGCAAATTATCACAAATTTAGAAGCATAAATAATACAAATGTATTATTTTACAGTTTTGTAGGTTATAGATCTAACGTGTGTCTCACTGGGATGAAATCAAGATATAAGTTGTGCTGTGTTCCTTTTCAGAGGCTCTGGAAGAGAATTTTGTTTCCTCGGCTTCTCCAACTTCTAAAGGCTAACATATTCTGCGGTTCCTGGCCCCCTACATCTTCAAAACCAGCAACATTGCATTTCTCTCTGATCCTTTTTTTTTTTTTTGGTTATAACATCACTGTCTCTAACTCAGCCATGAAATCCTCCATTTCTAAGGATTCATGCGGTAAGACTGGCCTCTTTGAATAACACAACAAAATCTCCCTTTCTCAAAGCGCTTAACTTTAACCCCATCTACAAAGACTCCTTTGCATTGTAAGATAGCATTTTTACAGATTTTGTGGATTAGGGAGCATATATATTCAGAAGCCATTACTCTGCCTACCACAGAAGAGAAGCAAAGAGAGTGGGTAAGGTATTTAAAGTAAGATATGGAGCAAGGAAGTTTATTTGATTTTATATGGATATTATTACACTCAAGTGGAGGATATGCAGTATTCAGTAATATAATAAAAATGTATTCGAATAGGTTTAAATAAGTAGTATATTTGTGGCTATTAAATACTCTTTTATATATATACACATATATAATAGTATAATGGTATATATAATACTAGTATAATAGTATATATAGCAATAATAATGGTATAATATAATAATGGTATAATTATTAGTATAATAGTGTAACAGTAATAATAATAGTGTATATACTATTAAATAGTATATAATAGCCATATATTTGCCACATATGTTGTAATAAGAAAAGGTTCCAGAAATCCCTAATTGCATAGAATAACAAATATTATGACCTCAGTTATTTTAAAATTACCTATCAAAATAGCACAATCTGCTATGTTTGGTTTTGCATTCTACTCAAACAAAATAGAGATTTTTGAGATTATCTACAGCAGGAAATGAAATTCAATAATGTAGTTTAAAAGATGTGGTAATGCAGAAAAAGATTATAACCAAATCAGATCACCCTATGCCAGTCCCATTGTTTGGAATTACTGAAGGGTTGACGAAATTGAAAACAAATTCTTCAGGCATGATTTATTCCATGTAACATCCCTCTTACAGAGGTGAAGTTTTTATTTAAACTTTTTTAACTATGAGAAAATCATAGCACCAAAATTTTGTAAATAATTTATAATAAAGTTGGAAGTCCATTACTCATGTAATTATGTAATTTTTAATCATTTTATGCATAGTCATCTCCATGAATTGTGAAAAATCAAGGACTATTTCTTGGACATAATTTGCACATATATTTTTGTGACCTTTGCAGAGGAAGATGAGGAATTCTGTAATTCAGTACTTGGAAATGTCCGTCTAGTAGATGCGAGAAAATGTACCCTGAGATAAAAAATTATAAGTGGAAGTATCATCTGTCCTATGGCAGAAAATGAGTGGAAGTATAATTCTGTCATTTCAGAACACAGGTTGCAATAACTTCCTAACTACTAAGATCTCCAGTCATAGAAACTTCGGACATGTCCTTTGAAAGAGCTGGATATCAGCATTTCTCAATGGTTGCACTATTGACCTTTGGAGTAGGAAAATTGTCATTATGTGAGCATATTCCATACATTGCAGGACATTTGGCAGCCCTGTTTCCCTCTACCCCATCCACTAAATGATGAACGTTTTTCTCAGGCATCATGAAAGTTTAATTGCCTTTGCACTGTCCTTATTGTGAACAACTATCCAGTAATAGATTCTGTAGTGAACAAGACAGCCTCATCATTCCTCTCAGCTTGAGGAAATCTAGACAGGTTTCTTCCTGACTATTGGCCCCTGATTTCTTTTTTCTGGGAGCATCAAAGCGCTTACTTTAGAAAAATTTCAGTCCTAAATTCTCGCTGTGCTTTTTGAAATGTAAATCTTCTTCCAGCCTCTTGCCTGTTTTACAACCCAGTAATGTGTTCCTCAAGGACTTGGGAGCCATCCCTTTGAAATGTAGTCATGAAGAAGAAAGACAGGGTCCCCACCTCCCAGTCTTTGTGACAAGGTAGAAGCCTAACTTTGACAAATAAAAATTTGCAGGTAAAATTGAATTTGATAAACACAATTAGCAAACACAGATAGCCTGACCAGATTTGCTCACCTCCCTCCTAACTTCCTCTGGTATTTTTCTACCAGCTCACCGGAGTGCTTAAAAACTCCCCTGCCTTTTGTTTTGGAGGAGTCAAGTTCAATGTATTGCCCGTATTGCAATAGTCTTGAAAAAAATCTTCTTGCCGGTTTAATATGTCCAGTGCAAATTTTCACTGACAGTAGAAACTTTCATGAGCAACCCTGTTGGGGTGCAATTTTGACAGACTAGGGTAGGCATGAAGGGCTTAATCCTGATCCTAATTTCTTAGACAAAAGTCAATAAATAATGTCTAAAATATTCATTTTTAAATGGCTGGTACTGGTGAAAAATCTTAAACAATGTAATCATCTATATTTTAAAAAATGGATAAACATAATGAACATTATACAGCTTATACACTGTTAAAAAAATCTGAATTACTCCTGCATCAAGAGTAACATTCTGGATAGAGAATCAGCCAGCTTGAGAAGACTAAATTGAAATTCAGCTCTCTAAGTCATTTTCCATGAAAGGGAATGAAAAATATATTTTTAAAAATGAGATAGAATTACAAAGTAATAAATATAAATAGAAAATTCACTCATACGTCCCCCTCTTTGTCTTTATTTCTTCCTTTCTGACACAGATTTCCCTTTCATTTTAATAAGTTAAATTTTCATTAAAGTGCCACTTACCTACTTTTAAAACACAATTACAAAACCAAATAGCAATCTTTCCCTGCCTTACACCTTCCCATCCCATAGTAACAGTGGGAGGTTTGGGGGAAGTAGAAAAAGAAGTGAAAACTAACTGCAAAACTCTGTACAATTTCCTTATGAGTGGTATTTCATATTCATAATGATATGTAGAGTAAATGCTAATTTAACAAAAGATTATGAATTATATTTTGAAAGACTAGGATGGGCATGAAGGGCTTAATCCTGATCCTAATTTCTTAGACAGAAGCCAATAAATATAAAATACTCATTTTAAAATGATTGGTACTGGTAAAAAATATTAATGTAATCATCTATGTTAAAAATATGGATAAACATAATGAATATTATACAACTTAAACACTGTTAAAAAAATCTGAATTATTCCTGCATCAACATGGGAAAAATAAAAATATAATTTTCAGGAAAGCAACACTGCAGTAGATACAGCGACATCATTTATATTTTAAACCATGAAAAACAATATAATATTGTTTTATGTATGAAAGCAACAAATCCATAATAATTACTTCACGGATAGGAAGGAGGGGAAAGGGGTCATGAAAAGGCACACAGAGGACTTCTATTTTATTTGGAATATTTTATTTCTTAATTTGGGTGATACATACACAAGTATTCATTATGCTTTTACATGCCTGTCATATTTCATGAAGTATTTTTTAAATAAAATAAAGCAACAAGCAAACAAGCCCTAAGATGAATGGTGATAAGAATAGCTATATCAGAATCGGCCATGAGGGAAATAAAAGATACCATGTTAAAAGGACATGCATAATGCCTAGCACATATTAGACATTCAATAAATATTTTCCCTCTCTGGAATTCTTTAAAGGCCTATAGGCAAGGGAATAATATACAGATATAGTTACTATGGGAGGTAAGTTTAACTTAATAATAGGAGGGCATTTTTTAAAAATGACATTTACTAAGATGATCATCTACTTGAACTTGATATAAGTATGACATAAGTACTTCCTGATTTGGGATATGACTTAAGTACTTCCTGATTTGAGATGCCAACAATCTTAAAACTCTAATAGATTGAAACCCATTAATCTAGTCCCATCTTCCTTTCCCACAAGAAAGGATGAGAGATCTTTTCCAATATGTAGTCAAAAGCATGTTGAATTGCTGCCCAAAAGTAGCTGCATCATTTAAGGTAATTACGTTTTATTTTGTTTTTATACACTTTATCTTACAATAAAATCTCTTTTAAAAAAGAGAAACGGCCGGGCACGGTCGCTCACGCCTGTAATCTGAGCACTTTAGGAGGCCGAGACGGGTGGATCACGAGGTCAGGAGATGGAGACCATCCTGGCTAACACGGTCAAACCCCGTCTCTACTAAAAATACAAAAAATTAGCCGAGCCTGGTGGCAGGTACCTATAGTCCCAGCTACTCCGGAGGCTGAGGCAGGAGAATGGCGAGAACCCAGGAGGTGGAGCTTGCAGTGAGCCGAGATTGCGCCACTGCACTCCAGCCTGGGTGACAGAGGGAGACAGACTCAAAAAAAAAAAAAAAAGCACTTAAGCAAACAGGGTTAAATATCATCAAATTCAGTTTTTCAGAAATTATGTTTTTTTATCACACAACTTTATCTTAGAATTTAATAGGGAAGTTATTCTTTTCATATTCAGGCCATTTTCTCTCTTCAAGACAGTCTGAAATATTTATTTGTTCTACTGAATATGAATTTTCTCATGTATTATGAAATATTTACTTTCTACCAGAATTAACTATCATACATTTTGTTGGATCTATTTTCAAACATTAGAACATGGAGATAGACAATTTTTCAAATATCTCCAATGTGATTGTATTTAGTAGCTATTATTAATAAAAACACACTAAGCAGTTTTCATCCATTGGAGTTGAAATAGTTTAATATCACTATTATATTGTTTTCATTATGTTTTCTTTCTGCTATTCAATGCATTACAGCTGACATTTTGGAGTAAGCGTTTGTGGAATACTAATTTCCAAAGGCATTGATTCCCATCACTCTTACACTTCTTACCATGTACTTCTCTGTCTAACGGAGGTGCTTAGTCTTTTCTCCTTGCATCTAGGTGGGTTCTCCTTACTGCCTTGACTGATAGAGTACATTGAAATTAATGCTATGTGATGTCTGAGGCTAGTTCATCAAAGGCAAGAGCCTGTACTTGCTTCTCTCTGTGGAACTTACCACTGGGATCCAGTCAGAAAGAGATGCTGTTGAGATTCTAGCTAACAGCCATCATCAACTGCCAGAAATATAAGAAAGCCTTAGAGATGACCCCAGCCGCAGCCATTATCTGAAAACAACCACAAGAGATGCCTAAAGAGAACTGCCTAAGCCCAGTAAATTCCTCAAACCATAAGAAATTTAATAATAATAATAAACGATTGTTGTTATTTCTCACTAACTTGGGGATGGTTTGTTATCCAGTCATTGCAATCAGACCAGTGGATGCTGCTATAATAAACACTAAATTATGTGGCATTGCCTTTGAGAAAGGATGGTCAACAGAAGCTAGAAATCCTTGAGAATGTGAGCAAAAGCCTGAAGATCCCTGAGAAGAATGTCTGTGAAGACTCAAAGGAAAATGAAGAAAATAAAACTGAATGATGGAGGATAAAAATCTCTTGTTATGTAGTGGTAGAAAGTTGAGCAATGCTATTACCTGTGACAATAAAAAAAGAAAAAAAAACCTAATGAATTCTGTGACTTAGTTAAGAAGATATTCAGGTAAAATATTGTATTACATCTCTAGCTTCTTCTAGCTGCCAACTAAAGAAACAAAATACATAAGTTAAGGAAAGAATTGTTACATACAAGGAAACAAGGACTTGATGAGTTTGAAAATAAAACCGATCCTCATTTTTTATTGCTCAGGTTGCAAGATATGCTAAGATTAATAAGAAACCTCTAGGTGGATATTAAATCTAGGGAGCTGGAAGAAGAAAAATATTGTTCAAAGATGAAGCCAAAGGTAAGATTGCAAAGTTCTTTGTTAAGACCTCAATATCACCTAAGGCAGTATACTTCTTCAAATAGAAAAAAGACTTAAGAATCTCAAAACCTACATCTTAAATCAGGCTTCTAAGACTAACAGTATTGTTCCATAGCAGTTTCAAAAAATGTCCCAAGTAGACAAGGGCTTATATCAAAGAGAGATGGGGATGTAGCTTTGTGGACTGAACTCCAATAAGACTTATAGAGATCCCAAACATTTTTAGGAGAGGTCAAGAAAACATTGTCATCATGACCTAAAATTACAGGTAGTTTAAAATGAAAAAAGGTCTTTAGATTCTTGAGCTACTATAAGACAGAAGCCATTTGAGAAAACTCCTTAGCTTCAAGCATCAGCTGTTTCTTATAGAAAAGAAAGGATGGCTAACAGGGCAAAAACAAGAAGCCAAAAGATGAAACCAAGAGCAATGCAGAATCATTTTCAGACAGTAGGACTGAGCCCAAATCAATGAACTAGCAGCGTGTTTCCTGACTGTATTTCTGAATTGCTATGGATCAGTAGCTGTTACGGGCCTCCCAATTCTTCCAGTTTCTAAACATGAGTATCTATAGAATTTATCCCATGCCTACCCCACCCTCATTTGCTGGGTGTGGTGTTTAAGATAATGTGTACCTAATTCATTAGTGTTCAGATGAAGAGGAATGGTACACAAAGAACTGTCTTTGAGGAAATGTATCTGAGGATCCTCCGAACCTGGACCTGCATTTGATAATGGAAGCATGGACTTTGAGCTGATACAGCAATGCGATGAAACTTGGATACGTGTAGGAGGGGATAAATGTATTTTTCATGGTTGAGGAATGTGAAATCTTGTGGTCAGAGGAAGGATGGTGGCAAATTCTATTTTCCAAAGAGGTTGTAGAAATAGCTCCCAGCCCACAGTGCTACTTATTATGTTACCTTGGCAGCGGAACAGTAGTGCATTACTTGGTTTAACCTTCAATTTAATCTTAGTGCCAAATATTATATCTTAATGTAAAGGGGAAAAAATCTGGAGTAGCTATCAGGAGATTTTGGTTCTACTCCTGGCCCTGTTTGTGCCAGCTCTCTGACCTTAAACAAAGATATTTATTTTCACCTATGGTATTTATTTTGACCTCGCCAACCCTAAATTTCTTCAAATGAGAAATGAAAGACTTGAATTTGGTTAGAGAAGTTCAAACTAGAACCTCTTGGCTTGCAATGAATTACACTGCAACTCTGGAGTTGAGCTCCAGAGCCTGTACCTCATTTCAATCAGAGTATCTTTCCTTTTATCTGTTTTACATTTTGGACTTCTGCATAAATTTTTATTTGAAGAAAGAATTACAAAGCTTAAGAAAGTAAAGCTTGAAAGCTACTGTCTTTGACGATCCATATTGTTGCTTTCAACTATAAAATTCGGTAACTCCTTTGTTTTGCCAAGTAAGATAAACCATCTAATCCAATGATTTTTTAAGAAATGACGCCTTCTCCTCCTAATCTATTAAGGAAGGTTAAAGAAGTCAGATCAATGTTACCTGGAGAGGACTAGTTGGGTGAATAAATGGGTTATCTAAAGTTATTCTCTCATTCTATTGAGGACAAATGAAAAAGTCACAAAATTATGAATTTTTGAATGATTTCCAAGCAATGAAGACTTTATCATAATATTTTTCAAAATATTATTTATTTCTATAAAATATTAGTAAGATTTCATTGAACTTATTTGATCTTAATTGGCCACTGGATTAGATAATTATCAAATACTTCTTCCTGGGTTACTAGACTATATAAACTCTCACAGTCTTAGATTGACTCCAGAATGCAGTGTCAAACGATGACAGGTATTGCGTCAGGATTTAAGGATATTTGTTGTCATGATGAAAAAGTAAGAGATGTCAATGGCCTGGGAGAACTACTAAAAAAATTGCCTAAAAAGAAATAAGCAACAACTTTTATTTAGCTTTGTCTATGGCACACTCATTTTTTTATTATTTTAGCTGCATTGTCTTAGCTATTGGTCACACCTGTAAGTGAATAAAGCAAATCTTCTAAAGCACAGTGCAGTTTTGTGGCCTCCTCTACAATTTGTAGTCTTGGTAGAGGATTTCTTTTGTGTGATTGTGGGAGAAGGCTTTTTTTTTCCGTGTTAGATGTAATGTTTTTCATAACAGGCAATTATAATAGCTAAGTCTTATAATTCATGGTGTAAGCTTTATGTGACTATAGTCTCTAGTTTGGTTTGGTTTCTGCTGCTTTATCCTTAGTGCCAAAGACAGTACTTGGCAGAAAATATGTACTTATTGAATATTTCTTGAATGAACAATAATAAACAATAACTATAATTATTTAGCCCTTAGTGTGTGCCAGATGAGGTCCTCTTTCTCTCTCTCTCAATCACACACACACACACACACACACAATCTAACCTTACCAAAAACTGGGCTATATATTTGGTATTATTATCCTCATTTTATTGTATTGTATTGTATTTTTTTGTTTGTTTGTTTGTTTTGGATAACAAGAGAAGAAATTAGGTTGCCAAATTCACACAGCTAGAAAAAAAGAGCTACATTTTTATACAAGGCAGTCTGTCCTAGAATGTTATAACAGTATACTATCTTAAGCCTTTGTAATAGTTAATTGTGTATGTTTACTTGACTGGGGTCAGGCATGCCCATACTGCTGGGAAAACATTATTTCTGGGTGTGTCTGTGAGGGTGTTTCTAGAAGACATTAGCATTTGAACTGGGAGGCTAAGTAAAGCTCGCCTTCACCAATGTGGGTGGGCATCATCCAATCCATTGACAGATCCAGTAGAACCAAAAGGAAAAGGAAAGGCAAATTCACTCTCTCCTCTTGAGCTGAGACATCCATCTTCTGCCCTGCCCTCAGACATCAGAGCTCTTGGTCATAGCTCTTTGACTTAGACTGAATTAAACCTCCTGCTCTGCTGGCTCTGTTTCTTTAGAGAACCCTAACTAGTCCAATCTCTAAGAATGAACCGAAACCTTCATGTCATAAAACTGTATCTTGTTAAGAAATTGATTGTTATTTGTTTGATAAAGAAAGAGGAATACTAAATACAACATAAATACATATTAGGCTCCACGGTGGGGAAAAATACTGGCCACAAGACTACCAGGCTTTTAATATATACGGAGTTCTATATTTCAAAGAATTTAACAAGGAAAGAAATACTTCAAAGGAGATAATACTATAATCCTATAGCTAGCATAACTCCTAAAGAGAACTGTTGAGCAGATGACATTTACTTTTTCCCTTCCCTTCACCCAGTTACCTCCCCTTCCAGAGCTTTTCACTGAGTTACCTCCCCTTCCAAAGCTTTTTCGCTGAGAGCAGACCTCGACATCCTTTTTACCTACCTATTCAGCTTCCAGCACAACCACAACACCCAGCTTTAAGATCTTATAAGTTAGATTAAATAATTATTTCTAATATGCCACTGAATATTTTAATTTATAAAATAAATAAAAAAGAACAAGCACCAGAAAGCTAAGGAAGCTGTTATTTCTGGAAGTATTTCTGGCAGTGTGGTACTGTAGTTTGGGCATATTTTAGAGAATATGGCCTTTCACTTAACCCTCACATCACACCTTGTTGGCTCTTATCTATTCTCCATATTTTCAAAGGTCTTCCTCTGTGGTTCACGAGAAATCAATGATCAGTCACTTAAAAAAATTATTTTGGTAAGAATGGCATATTATATACAGCTCAGTCTATCTTATTCTGACTTTCTGCCTACAGGCAGAACCAAGGACTTACTAATGGTCTCCAAATACCATGTTCTATCTGAACTGTGACTAAAATATATCTTCTCTCAAATGAGATTAGGCTTTTTTAGAATGGCCAATCAACACTCTTTCCAGATACTACCATAGATAGTGACTGCTTAAGTAAAAGTTGGAATTTTTTATTGTATTATCAGTGGATTCCTAGAAAAGAAAAAAATGACAGCAATTTCTAATCTTTGCGTATCTGTTTTTGCACAGCATTCAGATGCCCCAAGTGAAATTAATTTATAGACTAAACAAAATCTCAATAATATATGGAGATGGGAAACTAAACTTCTATATTTAAGTTTAGTCCTTAATATAGTATGTTATTAAAGAAATGTCATAAACAGTGGACAAGAGGGTAACATTTTCTGTCTCTGCAATAAATAGGCTTATGGTGAGTTAAATTTCTTTTCTTCTCATAGAATTGGCCATTTGGCCTTTGCTAAATGGAATCTGTAATATTCCACTTTTATTTGCAACTGCTGTTATTTACCTATTAAAGCCTGTTTTCTACAAGTCCTTCTGAAAGCAGAACAAGGCAAGATAATAGTTTCAAATTAAATTACAATCTATTGTCCTGACATAGAAGTTTCTATTAGAAAATCTCAAATCCTTTACCAAGAATAATTAAGTAGAAATGTCAAATCCACTCTGACAGATCTTATTGGGTATTTCTGTTGGGTATTTCCTGACTGCTGCTCTTTGGTGGCGGGAAATTAAATGACTGCCAGGGGATACACTATGATTCTTTGTGAAGATAGATTATGTACCCAAGAGTCTTCACCCACATTGAGAAAAAAACAAAACAAAACCAAAAACAATGGGCCAGAAGAAGAGTCTCAGAGAACGTGTCCAAAACTAACAGAATACATATGAAAGATAGCAATTGATGAGCATGCTGTTGCTCTTTATATAGAGAGCCAATGTGCTATTTTTCATGTAACATGCTGAGAAATTAAAGTAAGAGTTTATGTGTTTGTTAATTGAATAATCCTTTTTATTGACACTTAGGTATATTTTTATGTGACTATAAACCAAAAATAAAATCCTAAGCCTGCCAACACACTGAATGGATCCCATCTTGGCAAAAGAGACCCCAGAGAATCCTGAAAAATTGCATTCTTGGTGGCCATGACGGGAAGGAAGGTCAAACACATCGTGTTATGCCCCCTCCCTTTTGGAGTTAAGGCACAACTCACCAGCATTAACTATTAATATAAGCAGAGATCACAAGACTGCCAAAACAGACTCATTTTGGCAATAAGTTACCAAACTCAAACCTGATTCTGGGATAGCATCATATGACAGATAACAGACCCTGAAAGAAATAAAAATATTTTACTCCAAAACATATTTCTTTGACTTATTTTGAAATGGATGTGCAAAGCCACCTCTTGCGGAGGAAATTTGCAAGTGTAGAGAATCTCCATTAATTCAGACAGGTCTTCCCTTTTTACGTCTTTCCCAGATCCAGGGGAGATTAAATGAGAGCTTGATACCTTTAGGTCTGAAATGGGATATTTACCATCTATTCTCTCTGAAGCCTGCTACCTGGAGGCTGCATCTGTGTAACAAGCGCCTTGGCCTCTACAACCCCCCTTAACTTAACTCAACTTTCTGCTGACTGGAAGTTTTTTGGACAAAGCTTAGTTATTTCAACCAATTACCAATCAGAAAATCTTTGAATCCATCTATGGCCTGTAAGTGCCACCCCCCCAGCCCAGCCCCCACTTTAAGACATCCTGCCTCTTTAGACTGAATCAGTGTATACCTTCCATGTATTGATTTATGGTTTTACCTACAATTCATGTCTCCTAATACATATAAAAGCAAACTGTAACCCAACCACCTCAGGCACACTTTCTCAGGATCTCCAGAGACAGTTCCCTGGGCCATGGTCATTCATATTGGCTCAGAATAAACCTCTTTAAATATTTTACAGTTTGTTTTTTCCATCAATATGACTCAGAGGAGAATGACATAATGGTACATGGTTAGGGATATTTGGAAAAAAGTATTTGTTTTGTACATATGTACACACGCAGTGGCCATAATTTTAGCTCACAATCTCAACTGCACAGAGATGTTACACTTATTTATTTATTTTTATTTTTATTTATTTTTTGATATGGAGTTGTGCTTTTGTTGACCAGCCTGGAGTGCAATGGCGCAATCTCAGCTCACTGCAACCCCTACCACCCGGGTTCAAGCGATTCTCCTGCCTCAGCCTCCCAAGTAGCTGGGATTACAGGCATGCACCACCACACCCAGCTAATTTTTTATTTTTAGTAGAGACAGGTTTCACCATATTGACCAGGCTGCTCTCTAACTTCTTGACTTCTGGTGATCCACTCACCTCAGCCTCCCAAAGTGCTGGGATTACAGGCATGAGCCACCACACCTGGCCTTTATTTATTTTTAATTAAATGAAATCCAAATAAAAGCCACTTTCCTGCTAAGATGGAGAAAAATTTATTCACATGAACTCACTGGAGAACTGAATCCTTCCTTAAGGCTGCTCGAGAATGAAGCGAACCCTGATAATGCTTCACAAAAGGAATAAGTGTCTCTAATTTTCAGTCATAATAGGCACCACTAATAATCTCATTGTCTGAGCCAAGATGGGTCCAGATATCCAACAGTTGGGCTGCTTCTAGTCCATGCTTGATGAACAAACACTTTTGCTGAGGTTGAAAAGCTGGGGCCATGTAGAGTTAAGCCATTTTTTTTCTGAATTCCGGCTCCCTTCCTGGAGCTGCTAAAGGAAAATGGGAATCTCCACTAGGAAAGCTCCCAGGGCCTTGGTCTCTTTCTCAGCCCCAGGGAGTTTCCAACACACTCTCTAAAATTGAAGGGCTCACCTTTCCTTCATAGCTTACAGAAAGACAGATGTCCCTGAGTATCTTCTGGTTTTGACCCCTGTGTCACGATTTTCCTGAGAGAGGAAAATCCAAATGTTTGGTCACCTGTGTGGTATTGAGGGAAGGGAGGGAACATAAAAAGAATACTACAGGTAGGAGAAAAAAAAAGATGATTAATATTCAAATATTTGACTCTTCTAAATAGGCATGCATAATGCATCTGACTCCTAAATATATGTAGTGTTTGCGTAACTATGTAGATCTTATCTGGAGGGAATGTTATGCAAATGAACTACATTCCACAAGATTGTCCCACTTTGTTCAGATATAGAAAGTGTGTCAAATTATTCACATGAGTAGTATGATACTATTGAATCACTAACAAGAGTTCATTAGTAAGTCATTCAAAACTGTGTACAGAAGAGTATCTGATAGCACCTCTCTTTTCAATGTTATGAGGAACTAAGGCATTTGGTTGCTATGCAGTTTGGAGGGTTTCACCCATAGAGTAACAATACAAATACGTTTTGAATGGAGAACGTATGATCACAAAGACATTCTGATTTAATTGCAGCACTTCAGTGTAACATTAAAGTAAAGGAAGGAAAGGAGGTTAACCAGCCCCAAATAGTGCTGTGTTCATGTTACTCCTCCAAAATGATTTCAAGCTTGACTTCAGAGATCTTGAATTTCATGAAGTTCGGAAATAGAGCAGTTTGAACAGAGTTACAACATCTTATGGAGTCCTATCTGCTTCTGTTTTCTCATCAGTGAAATGGCAATAAAATTAGAAATCACAGGATTATTGTGAGGATTAAATGTATTAATACATATAAAGCATTTAGAACAGTCCTGGGACAAAATAGTGCCCAATAAATCACGACATTTCTTAATATTAGTGTCCTTATCATTACAATAAACTACGTTGAACACAGCACAATTTTATTTTATACATTGAGCATGCTGGGTGACAAGGCACACAGGGTCTCATGTTAGATACTTTGACATGAAAGACCTCAGAAGTGTGTCCTATCTAGTAAAGTAGTATAATGTGCTACAATGGGGCCTTAATTTGTTCTTACATAGAAGAACTTACTGTCAGGCCTCTGAGCCCAAGCCTGCACTTATACATCCAGATGTCCTGAAGTAACTGAAGAATCAGGAAAGAAGTGAAAATGGCTGGTTCCTGCCTTAACTGATGACATTACCTTGTGAAATTCCTTCTCCTGGCTCAGAAGCTCCCCCACTGAGCACCTTATGACCCTCGCCCCTGCTTGCAAAAGAACAACCCCCTTTGACTGTAATTTTCCACTACCTACCCAAATCCTATAAAACAGCCCCACCCCATCTCCCTTCACTGACTCTCTTTTTGGACTCATCCCGCCTGCACCCAGGTGATTAAAAAGCTTTACTGCTCACACAAAGCCTGTTTGGTGGTCTCTTCACATGGACGCACGTGACACTTACATAACAGACTTCAAAATAACCAAACACAATTCAGCATATTTTTTCTGTTGAATTAAGAAATCTGGGTCCCATAGAATTAAATTTAGAACACTAACCAATAAAAAAAAAAAGTGCCTATCACATTTAGAGTAAAATGAGATTAATCATAAAACATGAAATTGAATAGTACCTTAAAGTTTTAAGATAAGCAGAGATGAAAAAAAATGGTTTTATCCCATTTTACCTATTTACAGAAAAAAGAATAGAAGCTGACTTCTATGTTACACTTCAGCCCCACTCCCAAGGTACTTATTTTCTACACTATGCCTTCTAGACCAGGGGTTAAAAAACTTCTTCATTAAAGGATTAAATGGTAAATATTTTCATCTTTGCTGACCAGACTGTCTCTGTTTTAACTATTCAACTCTGCCAGTGTAACAAAAAAAGCAACTATAGACAAGTGAAAATGAATAAATGTGTCTGTGGTACAATAAAATCTTATTTATGGACCCTAAAATTTGAATTTCATATAATTTTTATGTGTCACAAATATTATTTTTTATTTATTTCAACCATTTAAAATGATAAAAACTATTCCTAGTTCATAGGCTGTGCAAAAACTGTTAACAGGCTGGATTTGACTTTTGGGTTACAGCTTGCCAATCCCTGCTCTGGACCATTGACTACTTATATGACAAGAAAGTTAGTTGCAATATGGAAGCAAGCAAAGCCTCTGATGTTGGAGAAACTATGAAAGCAAAGGCTTCTCATCCGTAATGGGTGGCAAATTTGCTCCCAAAGAAGACATAATTTTCAGATACAGAAATATATATACATATATATATGTGTGTGTGTATATGTATGTATGTAAATGTGCTATCTATAGCCATAAGAACTATCTCTATATAGGAACATATCTATAGATATGTATATGTCTATATATACATGTATATATGTAAATGTGCTATCTATAGCTATAAGAACTATCTCTATATAGGAACATATCTATAGATATGTATATGTCTATATACATATGTATATATATATTTTATATAAATCAACATACTGAATTTTGTACTGCCTTTTTTTAGCATACCCAGTCAATTGAAGTTAGCAATTTCCTATTCTCTAGTTCACACAAACCATAGCAATTCAATTACATCCAACATGAGTATCAAATATGTATAAAGTGCTCGATGAAGCTGTTGTACTTAAAATTTTCTCTTAAAAGTAGTTTATTCTATCTAATTTGAAGAAAATTTGCATAAAAACTCAATTGTTCAGCAAACTCTAAATTCAGAGAGACACAAACATTTGTATTAAAGAAGTCAACTGCCTAATCAAGTGATTTTTTCACCTTGCTCTCATTAACTGGCCTTCTAAATGACAGGGTTTCTAATTTTGAGTGTTCATTTAACATCCAAAAATTGATTGCTCATTATTGTGATTAATGCATTATTATAAGTAAATGATACATCAGTGTGTTGGCAAGCTGAACAATTTCTGAGCACATGGAAAATAAATATAGGTGATGTATCCTTTTTCTCTCATTTTAAGCTTGTGACCTTCCCTAGTAAACTCTAAATTTCCTGGTTTTCACATTGCACTTTGTAATTCCGCCTTGGGTATAGCCAATTAAAAATACTGGCATTATAATACTTTAAATAGGAATGAAGGTAAAATAAAAGATTATGAAAACTATGTGACTTAGATCTTGAATCATTTCTACAGCCCTTTGTTTAGCTCTTTGTTCCCTGGAAGGCACCTACATGAGTGAGTGATGTATATAACTTGAGCATTGACATTGTGACATTATACAAGGCCAAGAACACAGATTCTACTCCCATATGAAATTCTTAATATCGCTTACTTCCTGAGAACACAGTTTATACATGATCTTGCCCACACTTTTGCAAATGAGACCTATTTTGATAAAAATCTAAGAACAGAGGAAGTTGTGTATAAAACTCGCTATACTTAAACTCCATGATTTAAAGAAAAATTCAACATTCATTTCACAGTAGAGTGGATGGACATTTCTCCTACATGCATGTGATGATTTCAATAGTCAAAATCAGTATTACTTAAGAATAATTTCTTGACCTTATAAGTTTATTTATCTAAGAATTTCATTAAAAAGTCCAAATATCCAAAATATCAATACCATGATAAACAACAAAAATCACACCAATGTGTCTTATCCCCTCAGTTGTTGTTCAGAACAGTGAAGACTTTATTTAGTTTTCCTTGTGCTCATGGAATTCTGTGTCTGTCACATCACTTACTGGTACTGAATTTGAAAAAAAAAACAGAGAATGTCTACTATATGATAAATATGAGGCATAATACATTTTATTTCATTAAATCCTCACAATAACCATAAGGAGTAAGTACTTTTAGCCCTAATTCACATATAAAAAACAAAAAATAAACAAACAAAAAACCTGTATCTCCTTAAGTTTTAGTATCTGGCCAGAATTTACTCTGTAACATAGCAGCATGGCTAGAATTCAAACTCAGGACCCTCTGCCCTCTGAGACACGAAGCTCTATGCAGGCAGGGGCCATGTCTGTCTATGTCCTGTTCCATTCTCAACTAAAATCACAGTAAAAATTTGTTAAATGACTATATATATATATTTATATATATACGTATATATATTTCACACATATATGTAATGTATAAATATTAAATTTATATATTTCACACATATATGTAATGTATAACTAAATATATATAATATATAAAATAAATAAATATATATTTCATATATATATATATACACATTCACCATATCACAATGCTTGTATAAAAAGATAAATAGCCTGCCCCCTCCAATAAGTATTATTTCAAAATAGCTCAAATGTTATAATTTATCCACTACTTTGATCCCTTAATTACATGTAGTTTGATGAGACTTAGGGAAATGCAGCTGCGAGTTGGCGGAAAAAATCATATGTTCCTTTTCTTAGGAAATCATTTTGTTCCCAACATGACAACAACCTTTTGACTATGATAACATAAATATGTAATGTGTTTTCCGTCTTTACTATGTGCTAGAACACTGTAAAGTAGTTCACATTCATTTACATATGTCTCAAAACTTTCAGCCTGTATTAAAATTTTTGCTGCAGTATAATTTCTTGTTACCTTTTGGAATGATTCATTTTTCCTTTTCAGTGAAGAATATAAAAACTAAGATTTTCCGCAGTTACGAACCCGTCCTCCTCCTCTCTGTTATTCTTCCTTAGCCATCCTTGTGTCACAGGAAAGAGACTCTTGCATGCTTGTTAATTCCACTCATTGTATTGTTCTCTTCGTGTACCAGACTGTGAAGTTGTGAAGTCAGTCTGGTTAGCACTGACTTCAGTGACATTTCATTTGACATCGCTACACCTCCCTCTTGATACACTGCCATTTATCATTATCTTTTGTTTATAGCACTTTCACCTGTTTATCATCCATGTAGTAGAACTCATAACGGAGCCAACTGAATTAATTTGGCAAGTAAAATTATCTCTGGCACTGTATGAAATGTGGTTCTAATAGTTCATGTGTCAGGTCATTTCTGCTTCTCATAATTCAATTATTGTAACAGAAAGGTAAGAAATCAGATCTGTTTGTTTAATCTGTGTAAGAATATAAGATGTTCCCTAATATTAGTAGGTAGGGGGGACTCTGAATATATGCACAGCTTTCTTAGCAGCCTTCAAAAAATTTTTATCAGCATAATTAATCACATTACAAATAAAGCAGAATTATTTATGGTAGTGGCTTAATGACTTATAAAATCAATGAAAAAACTAATAAAGCAGAAATAAATAAAAAGTGGCAATGCATGAGTCCATGAGGAATAATAAGTAACATTTTGCTTTCCTGTTTCTTTCTTACCAGTATTTTATAAACTTTACTCAGTAGTTGCTCTTCTTTTTTAATTTTTTTAATTTGTAAAAAACTATTTTTATTAAAAATCTTTTTAGTTTTGTGGATACATAGTAGATGTATATATTTGTGAGGTAGATTAGATGTTTTGATACAGGCATGCAATATGAAATAAGCACATCATGAATTGCCCTTTTTCCTTAAAATAGCTCCATACATTTTCCAACCCTTTATTCTGATGTGAGTCACTCTTCTCTTACTAGGGTCATGTAACTTTTATTTTAATAAATATTTGAGATCCCACATTACACTAGAGATTTGGAGGTGTTCCTTTCATTGTTTACATCATTAACCACTTGCTCTTTACTGCTTCCCTGTTTTTCTCCTCTGGTAGATTTCTTGCTATCAAAACCAGTTTGCCATTATTCTGCTTGCCTTTTCAACTACCTAGAAATGAAATATAATAACCAAGCTAAGGAGTTTACTCTATTCCACAGTTTTAATATTTTTAACCACTTTGCCCGTGGCAAAGTTTCTTATTATGGGGAAGCCAAAACATTTAGAATTTGTTACTTAACATCAGTAGGCTACCGTGAAAAAGGCTCCTAAACCCAACTTTCTTATAGTTCACATAATACTTATCTTTATCAAGGAAACACCGTATTACGCAAGAGCTGCACTCTAGCAAGTTAGGTAGACTTTGTGATTAATCAAGGCAACGATCTTTTTTGAGCTCTTCTCTATCATAGCCTCTCTTCTTTAATCTTACTGACAATTCTTCCTTCCTCAAAAACTTTGACTTAGTCTTATGTTTGTCCACTTTCCTAGCTCTTCTCTAATCTCTCTACACACCATTTTCATTTTCATGCTCTTTTTCTAATTTCATTTCCTTTTTATGCCCAAGAAAATATGGATTCCAGCCTATATATACATCTTTTTCTTTTTTTTTCTATTACATTTACAACATTGCACTCTCTCAGATACAATAATAGTTTATCTCATTTACACACAGGTCTCCACAATTCTACAAAATCCTGAAAGTAAGTTAAAAAAAAAAAAAACTAAAAACTTGCGTGTGTTTATTAGTCAAGGGAGCATCTGAAAACCCCACACCCAGGAGAAATCTTAGAGTTTCTCATGTAAGTTCTACCTCCTCATCTCTTCATTCAAGGTGGAAACACCCAGAAAATTAATTATTCATAGCTTAAAATTTTCCTTTGATACTTCTAGAAAACTAAAGGAAAGTGGAGAAAAAAGTTGCTTATATATTAAACCCCAAGAGTATTTATTTTTAATTTTTTAATTTTTAAAAAAAGTTTGATACCTCACATTTGTACTTATTCATAGGGTACATGAGAAATTTTGTTACTTGTGCACTATGTATAATGATCAATTCAGGGTAATTGGGATATTAATCCATCACCCAAGTATTTATCATTTCTAGGGGTTGGGTACATTTCAGGTCTTCTATCTATTTTGAAAAATGAATACATTATTTTTAACTATAGTCATCCTACTCTGCTATCAAGCATTAGAACTTATTCCTTCTATCTAACCGTATGTTGGTACCCATTAACAGCTCTCTCTTTATCTAACCACCCCACCACACACACACTTACATACTTCCCAGTCTCTGTTACCTTTCGTTCCGCTCTCTGCCTCCATGTGATCTGCTTTTTTAGCTCCCGCATATGAGTAACAACATGCAATATTTGTCTTTCTGTGTCTGGCTTATTTCAGTTAACATAATGGTACCTAGTTCCATCCATGTTACTACAAATGACATAATTTCATCCATTTTTATATCTAAATAGTATTCCACTGTGTATATGTATCACATTTTCTTTATCCATTTATCCATTGATATATAGTTAGGTTGATTCCATATTTTTGCTATTGTGAATAGCATTGAAATAATCATGGGAGTGCATGTATCCCTTTGATATATTAATTTATTTTCCTCTGGATAAATACCAAAGGAAAAGTATTGCTGGATCATATAGTAGCTCTATTTTTAGTTTTACCAGAATTTTCATAATGTTTTACATAACGGCTGTACTAATTTGCATTCTCAAAAACAGGGTATCAGAGTTCGCTTTCCTCCGTAGCCTCACCAACATCTGTTATTTTCTGTCTTTTTAAATAGCCATTCAAACTGATAACTCATTGTGGTTTTGATTTGTGTTTCCCTGATGATTGGTGATGTTCAGCATTTCTTCATATACCTGTTAGTCATTTGTATGTCTCCTTTTGAGACATGTCCATTCATGTCCTTTGCCCACTTTTAATGGGTTTTTGTTTGTTTTTCGTTGTTGTTATTGTTTGTTTTTGTTTTACTACTGAGTTCCTTGAAATCATGGATATTAATCCCGTTGGATGAGTAGTTTACAAATATTTTCTCCCATTCAAGAGGCTGTTTCTTCACTCTGTTGATTGTTTCTTTCTCTGCACAGATGCTGTTTAGTTTAATATAATTCCATTTGTCTATTTTTTGCTTTGTTGCCTGTGCCTTTGAGGTCTTAGCCATAAAATCTTTGCCTTGACCAATGTCCTGAAGAGTTTTCCCTGTGTTTTCTTCTAGTTGTTTAATTGTTTCAGGTCTATGTTTAAGTATTTAATCCATCTTGAGTTGATTTTGTATATGGTGAGAGATAGCGGTCTAGTTTCATTCTTCTGCATATGGTTAACCAGTTTTCCCAGCCCCATTTATTGAAGAGGGCGTCCTTTCTCCAATGTATGTCCTTGACAGCTTTTATGAAGATCAGTCAGCTGTAAATATATGAATCCTTTTATGGGTTTTCTATTCTGTTCCACTGGTCTACATGTCTATTTTTATACTAGTGGCATGCTGTTTTGGTTACTGTAACCCATAATATATTTTCAAGTCAGGTAATGTGATGACTTTCAGTTTTGTTCTTTTTGCCCAGGATTGCTTTGGCTTTTCTGGCTCTTTTTTTATTCCATATGAATTTCAGGATTTTTTTCTACTTTTGTGAAAAATGACTGATATTTTGAAAGGGATTGTATTGAATCTATAGATTGCTTTCAGTAGTATGGTCATGTTAATGATATTAATTCTTTCAATCCGTGGGCATGGGATATCTTTCCATTTGTTTGTATCCTCTTCAATTTCCTTTATTACGGTTTTGTAGTTTTCTTTGTACAAATCTTTCATCTCCTTTGTAAAATTTACTTCCAGGTATTTTTTATAACTATTATAAATGAGATTGCCTTCTTGATTGCTTTTTCAGCTATTTCATTATTGGCGTATATAAACACTACTGATTTTTGTATGTTAATTTAGCATCCTGCAACTTTACTGAAATTGTTTATCTGTTCTAAGAGCTTTTTAGCAGAGTATTTTGATTTTTCTAAATATGAGATCATCTTATCTATAAAGAGCAACAATTTGACTACTCCATTCCACCTTGCATGCCTTTTATCTCTTTCTCTTTCCTGATTGCTCTGGGTAGGACTTTCAGTGCTACGTTCCAGTTCTTAGAGGAAAGACTTCCAACATTTCCCCATTCAGTAGCATGTTAACTGTGGGTTTGCATTACATGGTCTTCATTATTTTGAGTTATTTTCTTTGTATGCCTAGTTTGTTGAGAGTTTTTATCATAAAGTAGTGTTGAGTTTTATTAAATGTTTTTTTCTGCATCTATTGAGATAGCCATATGATTTTTACCCTCCATTCTGTTGATGTGATATAGCACAATGATTTGTAAATGTTGAACCTTCTTTCATTTTTGGTATAAACAATAATTGATCATGGTGTATTATATTTTTGATGTGCTGTTGTATTTGTTCAGCCACTATTTTTTGAGAGTTTTTGCATCTATGTTCATTAAGGATATTGGCATGCAAATTTTTGTTGTTGTTAATGTGTCCTTGTCCACTTTTGGTACCAAGGTAGTGCTGGCCTCAGAGAGTGAGTTATGGAGAATTCTCTCTTCTTCAATTTTTTTGAAAGTTTGAGGGAACTGGTATTAGTTCTTCTTTATAAGTTTGGTAGAAATTGACAGTGAATCCATCCAACCCTCAGCTTTTCACTTTGGGGAGACATTTTATTAATGATTTGATCTCATTCCTTAGTACCTGTCTGTTTATGTTTACTGTTTCTTCCTAATTCAATCTTGGTAGGTTGTATGTTCCTAGAAATGTATCTATTTCCTCTATATTTTCCAGTTTGTTTTCTTAGTTGTTTGTAATAGATTCTGATGACCTTTTTAATTCTTGTCATAGCAAATGTAATGCCTCCTTTTTCATTTCTGATTTTATTTGGGTTTTCTTCTGTCTTTTCTTAAATAATCTAGCTAGCAATGTATCAATTTTGTTTATCTTTTGGAAGAACCAATTTTTCATTTCATTGACCCTTTTTATTGTTTGTTCAGACCTTCTTATTTCATTTAATTATGATTTGATCTTTATTCTTTCCTTCTGCTAATTTGGGGTTTGGTTTGTTTTTGCTTTTCTTGTTTTTTGAGGTACAGTGTTAGATTGCTTATTTAACATATTTCTCCTTTTGATATGGATGTTTATTGCTACAACCTTTTGTCTTAGCACTACTTGCTATAGCCCATAAATTTTAGTATGTTTTGTTTCCATTTTAATTTGTTTCAAGAAATATTTCGGTTTTCATCTTAATTTTAATATTGACCCAACAGTCATTCAGAAGCATGTTGTTTAATTTCTATGTATTTGTAGAGTTTCCAATGTTCCTTTTGGTATGGATTTACAGTTTTATTCCATTTTGGTCTAAGAAGATGCTCGATATGATTATCCTTTTACAAAATTTATTGAGACTTGTTTTGTAGACTAACATATACTTTATCTTAAAGAATGTTCTATGTGCTGATGACAAAAATGAGTATTCTGTGTTTGGTAGATAAAGTGTTCTGTAGATGTCTCTTAGGTCCATTGGTATAAAGTTTAGAACAAAAAATCCAATGGGATTTCTTTGTTGATTTTCTGTCTAGATGATCTATCCAAATACTGAGTGGAGTGTTATAGTCCTGCGCTATTATTGTATTAGAGTCTCTCGCTCTTCTGATCTAGTAATATTTGTTTTGTGAATTTGGATGTTCCAATATTGGGGCATATATATTTAGAATTGTTATATCCTCATGCTGGATTCATCCTTTATCGCTATATAATAATCGTCTTTGTCTTTTTTTCACTGTTTTTTGACTTAAATTATTTCTTATGTGATATATACATGTATAATTCCTCCTGGTCATTTTTAGTTTCCATCTGCATGAAATATATTTTTTCATCCCTTTACTTTTAGTCTATATGTTTCTTTAAAGATAAGGTATGTTTGTTTCCTGCAGGCAGCATATACTTGGATTATATTATCTTTATTCAACCATGAGATATCTTTTAAACGGAAAATTTAATTCAAGGATATTATTGATATGAGGGATTTTCTTCTCATTTTGCTAAGTATTTTCTGGTTGTTTTGTATATTATTTGTTGTTGGTGTTGTTGTTTTTCTTTTTTTCTTACTGCTTGTCATTGTAGTTTGGTGGTTTTCTCTAGTGGTACCATTTGCATTCTTTCTCTTCTTCATTTGCATGCTTACTTTACCAGTGAGTTTTTTATATTCATGTGTTTACATGATGATAGATGTCATCCTTTGCTTCCAGGTTTAGGGGTCTTTTGAGCGTTCCTTAAAGGGCTGGTCTAGTGAGGATGAATTTCCTCAGACTTTGCTTGTCTGAAAAAGTCTTTATTTTTCCATAATTTATACCGGATAATTTTGCTGGATAATGTATCTTTGGCTAACAGTCTTTTATTTTCTTTCAGCATCTGAATATATCCCACTCTCTCCTGGCCTGTAAAATTTCTTTTGAGAAATCTACTATTAGTCTGACATGGTCTCCTTCATGCGTGACTAGAAACTTTTGCTGTCTTCTTTGCCTTTAGACAGTTGATTATAACATGCCATAGAGAAGAGCTTTTTGCATTGTATCTGTTTAGGGGGGTCTCCGGGCTTCTGGTATCTAGATGTCTAAATATCTTGCTAGACTTGGGAAGATTTCATCTATTATTTTGTTTAATAGGCATTCTATTTAACAAAATAGAAAACCTATTCTCTTTCTCCTTCTGGGACCCCAATGATTTGAATATTTATGGTAATTTGAATATTTGAATATTGACTTTTTGGTGTCCCATATGTTATGAAGGGTTTGTTCATCCATTTTTATTCTTTTTTTTTCTTTATTTTTGTTTGGCTGGATTATTTCAAAACACCTGTCTCAAGTTCTGAGATTGTTTCTTCTGCTTCATCTAATTTATTGTTTAAGGCTTCTAACAGGTTTAGTATTTAAGTCAATGAATTCCTCAGTTCCAGATTTACTGTTTGATTCTTTTTTTAAGTAATCTATCTCTCTGGTAAATTTCTTATTCCTATCCTGAATTGTTTTTCTAGTTTCTTCTTCTTATTATTATTATTGGGGGGAATTTTGTATCTCGCTGAGCTTCTTTAATGTCAATTTTTAAATTTTTTTCTGAGATCTCATGAATTTATTTTTAATTGGGATCTATTGCTGGATATTTATTTTGTTCCTTTGAAAGTGACATATTTTCTTTTTTTTTTTTTTCATGTTTTTTTTTCCTTATGTTGATGTCTGTGCATCCGGTATAACAGTTGCTTCTTCTAATTTTTTGAATTAGCTTTCATAGAGGAGGACTTTTTCTTGAAGATATATCTATGGTGCTGGTTGGGTAGAGCACTGTGGCTTTGAATCTGGGTGTATGCAGTTGTATAGTCTCTGTATGATTCTTTTGGCTGTAAAATAGCACCAGTGGTGTCCATGATTTTCTTAGTGGCTTAGGGTGTCTCCTGGTGTCTGTAGTTTTGCTGGGGTCTGGGACTCCAAGTAGGCCAAACTTCAGGTACCCATGGTGGCAGTGGTGAGCTAAGGATGCCTTTGTAATGGCTCCAGGGTGCAGGGTGCTGCACATTGGCACTGGCGTTCATGGGTCCAGGCAGGCTGATTCTTGAGCTTCCAGGTGGGTTGCTCAGATGCTGGGAATGGCAGCAGTGGGCCTGGTGTACGGGCAGGTTCTCAAGTGCCTGGGTGGTTGGTATGACATTGACAATGGCAGTAGCAGTGGTGGGACAAACCCCTGGGACGCAACTGGTCCATGCTGTTTTTGACTATAGTTAGGCGAGCTGATTCCCAGACCTGCATGTGGTACACACAGGTGGGTAACAGTTGTGGTGGTATGGGCAAGTTAAGTGGGCCCAACCTCAGACACTCAAAAAAGTGCTTAGGTGCCACCAGTGGTGGACTGGGCTGGGCAATCCCAAGACCCTTCAATGGTGTGCTAAGGTACGGGGGTTATGGGGCCAAGTCACATTGTGCTTTCAGTCCCTCGGATGGTGTGTAAGACACTGGCTCTGTTATGCAGGAGCAAGATGAGCCCCAGGCCACTGGCAAATTGCTCAGGTGAAAGTGGCAGTAGCTACATTGTGGCCCTGCTCCTAGGGAGGGCAAAGTTTATTTCCCTGGAGGAGCCATAGGCAGGCAGCTGCGAGGGTGTGGGTTTTGCCTGCACCTCAACCCACAACAATCTGTAGCCACAGTTGTTGTGGGCAGTGGTATTTGTCTTCAGGGTGTATGAGAATGTGCAGCTGCCCCTCTGCTCAGGGGGCGGGATTGCTTCTTATGGCTGCTTCTTTGGCTCCAGTTGCAGGGCAGGAGTTGGCTGGGCTCTCAAAATGGCATCATGCTACCACTGCCCAGGAATAAGGGGACTGTGGAAACCCACATGAGCTCTCTCTCTGGTGCAATGCCTTACTGCAGTTTTTGAGGGAGCTCCCTGTGTTAGTCTCATGGCCCGTGAGGGTAAAGGGATCTCCCATGGCCAGGATTATAGAAGTCCATGGCAGAAATGTATACCACTGTGGGGGTTCTCTCATCTACCCTTTCCCCACACTGGGGAGTCTCTCCCAGCTCCCAGTGAATCCCAGACAAGCAGGCTTCTTTGCTTCCTTACTTTCTTTGCTTTGGATGTTTCCTGTCATTTCTCTGTTGAATTCCAGCGTTCTGTTGTGGATGATCTATTTGAAGTGTAATTATCTGCTCACTATTTTAGTTCTTTTTAGTGGAAGAGGGCAAGTCAGAGATGCCTCTAATTGGCCATGATGAAGCCCCTTTTCTTTCTTTCCGAAGTGTAGTTTCTGGGGCAAATGAAATGACCGACCACATTTTGTGAACCAGGCATGGCTAGACCATAGACCCAAGTCTAAATAAAAATCCCTCCTGAGATTCATGTTTTCCTACAAGCCAAATTTATAAAACTATGGAAAAACTGTACTTTGATCAGAACTAAAGAATTGTTGCCCTTGAAGCTAAGTGGTAATACCATTTTAAATTATATTGACATTATAGCCAAAATGATATAACGTAAAAAATCCAAAATACCACGATGTCAATAGTAAAATGTACACAGAGCTCTAAAATTAATATATAAATATTACTTGGTATTTAAATTATTATTGTAGTAGAAACGAAGATTGGGGCCTTTTGACAGTAACACTACAAGGTTCTGAATTCTACCTTTGGTTAGGTTGTTAGACTTTGCTGAGGCTAGTTTTTGATGTCCTGATAAGCCTTTCTGGACATCTTTTGAAGCTATTCCATCATTTGGAAAAATTAACAGAGATAAAGATGCTCAACAGGTTTATGTGGAATGTGGATATATCAGTGGATATATTGCTGTCTCAATCATACAATTTTATTTTTGTTTTGCAATTCACCGTTTACTCTCTGAAGTCTAAATGTCACCAATAACACTACCAGCAATCCAACAAAAATAATACAATTGGCCGGGCTGGTGGCTCACACCTGTAATCGTAGTACTTTGGGAGGCAGAGGTGGGCGGATCACCTGAGGTCAGTAGTTCGACACCAGCCTGACCAATACGGTGAAACCCTGTCTCTACTAAAAATACAAAAATTAGCCGGGCATGGTGATGTGCGCCTGTAGTCCCAGCTACTTAGGAGGCTGAGACAGGAGAATTGCTTGAACCCAGGTGGCAGAGGTTGCAGTGAGTGGAGGTCGTGTCATTGCACTCCAGCCTGGATGACAGAGCAAGACTCCATCAAAATAACAATAACAACAATAATAATAATATAATTAATACATTCCAAAACTTTATGGCCTTACTTTGAAAGGGCAAATAGAAGGAGAGGAGTTAGCACTCATGAGTTATCATTTTGCTGACACTAAAAAGGTAAGGTTTTATACATGCCATAAATTTAAATTAGGAGCTTATTTAAATGGACAGAAACAGAAGTTAGTAGCAGAATATAATCACTGAACCAAACACTTAGCTTCCATACCTATATTACTTTCTTCATGACTATATGTTTCTATACTTTAAAGACTTTTCTCACATTCCTCATTTTCAGCTCTTTCTATTGATTCCAGTTTCTCTACATTTTAATAACAATAATAAAAGCATCAAAAATAACAACATATATTGAGGGCCTAATTCATGCCAAGCATTATGTGAGGCGTTTTCAATAAGGTATCTTCTTTAATTTTTATAACCGCCAAATGAAATCAAATTCATTAAACAACCTTCAAGATCTAATAAGAAAATAAGAAACCGCAGCAGGAGCCTATGTGAAGCAACCGCTGGCTTACAGATGTTCAGTTGGAAGAAGAGACTCCCTCCATTTACTGGGAGTCTTCAGATCTTAGATAAAAAATTAGGAAAAGGTGAAAAAAACTCTGAAAATACAACTATTCTACTTGAGAAACAATGCTCTGTCATGAAAATTAAGGTCAAGTATCATAAAGAAGTTGGATTTTCTGCATACCTGAGTATTGTGTATAAAACTCCCTCCTTAATGGAAAATAAATTTATCCAAAAACTTAATAAGTAAACTTTGAGAATATGTTTTAATGAAAGTGGATAACTCTTTTTTGATGTAATAATAATTTCTTATTACTTGATTGGAGAGGTTTATATGCCAGAGAATGATTTTTAGAAGTGAAACAAACAAAATGTACATTTAATGATATTTATTTACCACCATTTCATATAGAGCATATAGAGCCTGAGACATTTCACTGAACGTTCATCTACTGATTACTGTTTGGCTTTGTATTTCTTACATAATCACAGTTACATTACTTCACATAAGACTTTCAATTTCAATTGCTTTGAAGTGGAACTGGAATTTAAAGGCACTTCTAAGCTATCAGTACATAGACTCTATTGGCATAAGGACACAATTCTCAGTCTTTACAGTTGTCTCCCACATCTATTTTGAGAGTGGCTGATTTTAGAAACTTACGGTTATTGAACCTTTCAAAGTAATCAATTTAAATGCACAGAAGTTAGTAGTAGACCACATAGTTGGAACAAACATTTTTCACACTCATATTTAATTCATTTGCATAATAATTAAATTATGAGATTACAATAATAAATTAAACTGGCATATACAGTTTGGTATCAAAACAAACTGTAGGTTAGCAACCCACTCAGTTAATGGGAACAGAATTGTGTGAACCTACTAAGGAGGAGCTAAAAAATGGAATGGTTCAGGGCACCACAAGCATCAGGTAGTATGCAATGCAGCTGGAATAAGAAGGCGTGTTTACCATCCAGGTAAGAGTGTATTTAGGGCATTCAAATTGTCACTATTAATTTTAGCAGCATCAATTTATTTTTCATCTGGTTTGAGTTTGATATAGCAGCACCAATTTTTAAACAATATGATAATCAAAGAGTATATGGGTTTAGGTCACTAAATAGTCATGAAAACAAATTATCTAAGGACATTCACAGATTTAGAAATGTTTAGCTACTTTAGATTTTTTAATACATGTGGAAGAAATAGAAAAAATTTTAATGTATCCTGCAGTTATACATGCTTACTAAATTTATTTATATATTTCATTATTTTATCATTGTATGATTTTACTACAATTATTTTTCTAGTTTTTATAAAAAATTATTTACACAAATGATGACTTTTTTGAGGTGGAAAACTTAGGGAAATTTCAAAAACCTGGTATCTATATATTTAAAATCTAATAATGTTTTATTCTCATGTCTCATCTAAACATTCTTTTAGGCTAATATAGAATTTGCATAATCTCAAGATATACTAAACTAATATAATAACAAATGAAAGATCAGTGGACAGACCTACCTCCTTAAAAGAGAACTTACCAGTTATAGGGGCTGTACACATTAAAGTCATCCGCCTTAGGATAAATCAAGAAGTGCGCTTAAACACAGACTCATACACACACACAATGTGTACATATGCATACACACACAGGACTGTTTTCATGATCCTTGGTATAGTTATTTACAGAAAGTTCCACTTCTTATATCTTATAGTAGACATGATAGTTATTACACCAGCATATGTGTATGTACATGCTATAACATCTTCCATCTTTGTGTAGCAGTCATGAGGTTTGGTTGGAACAAGTAGCAGCTGCCTGCTGTCCTGCCTCTCTCCGACAAACACATACATCATCTAAAGGAAACAGGGAAACCTCAATCCCCTTAATAAAGTGATTCATACAAAGATAAGCAGGTAATGCAGACCTAAACCAAATTCCCT
Source organism: Homo sapiens (assembly GCF_000001405.40). Lineage (NCBI taxonomy): Eukaryota > Metazoa > Chordata > Mammalia > Primates > Hominidae > Homo > Homo sapiens. Next base: position 51,247,561 of record NC_000002.12, on the reverse strand, counting down.
GGGCCAAAATGACAGCCTTAGAATAGAGCAAGAGTCCTAAGTTTGTCCAACCACAATGAAGCCGAGGACTTTCTTCTCGTAACCAGGGAGACGAGGTTTTGTCTTCCTCTAGATGGCGATGAAAGGGCAGGGGGCAGAGTTGTTTTTAGAATGCGTGTATGTGATACCTAGAACTACTACAGCCTTTGGAGAGGTCAGTCTGAATGAATGTAATTATGTTGGGGGTTGAATTATGCACTTCCAAGAGTTATGTTGCAGTGTTAACTCTCAGTACCAGTGAATGTGACTTTATGCGAAAATAGGACTTTGTAGATGTAATCAAGTTAAGATGAGGTCATATGGCATCAAGGGGTGTCCTAATCCAATATGATTAGCGTCCTCATAAGAAGAAGAGAAGGGACGTAGAGACTGACACACAGTACAAATACCACATGATGCTGGAGGCAGAGATGAGAATGTCAAGGATTGCTGGCAACACCAGAAGCTAAGAGAAAGGCATGGAGCAGATTCTCCCCTAGAGCCTTCAGAGAGAGCATGGCCCTGATAACACCTTGAGTTCAGACTTCTAGCCTCCAGAGCAGTGAAAAACCAAATTTCTTTTGTTTTATGCCACCCAGTTTGTGGTTCTGTGTTAGGAAAGCACTAGAAACCTAACACAACATAGGACAAAGCTAAGAGAACTTCAAAGGAATTAAGATAAAATACTTTCTGTGGCTGAAGCTATTCTAATTTTGTCTACCAATTCTTCTTCCATAGTAAGGAAGTGTAAGGTTTTGCAGTTGTTATCATTTTACTTCATTTGTTTGTTTTGTTACTTGCAACCAAAAGTATCCTAATTCCCACATTTCTTTTTCTGATGTCATCTACCTTCTTGTCGGCATGAGTTCCAAGAACTCCAGAAAGTATAGCTGTCAGGTTCACCTGGTGAATGCTTTGAAAGTAAAGACTTAGCCTAAATGCCTGGGTATCACATCCCCACTTTGTGTGTCTACAATTTGGCTGCAAACATATGAAGGAAAGGGCTATACAAAGGCAAGCTGGAGAATAAAGGATTATTCTTTTCCTTTTCCCAGATATTTACATTACCAAAAATATACTAAAAGGAAACTACTTGTGCATTGTTTAGTGGTGAAAGAAAAACAGTTTACATAAATTTTCTGCAGATACAATATAAATTTTGTAATCCTACTTAGAGGTACAGTGTTACAATGTTAACATGGTAGCTTTAAGCCTGTTAACTACTTATCAGGAAGAATATGATTCTACAGTCAGCCAACAATTATCAGCAACGACAGATAAATATTTTCCATTACTCTTATATTTTTAATTTTTACCACACATTGATATCCTAGTTCTGGATAAAATTAACCACTGACATAAATTTTTGACTACATTAAAATAAGAATATATTATTTGTATTTTTTTAGATTTGCACATTAAAATAATTGTTTTATATCCAGTACTTTTTAGATCTGCACATTTAAATACTTAATTGTTTTACTACCTAATATCTGACTTGCACATTTGCAAAATATTAGCTAAAGGTATAGGGCCTGCTTGAGGTGGTGGAATAAAGCAAATATAAATGATCCATTCCAGAACTGAACTCATGACTATTACATTATAAGCAACGTTAGTCTTCCATATTAGCTATCAGACAAACACGGTAATAAACTGTGAAGAGTAAATCCTAAGCACATCTTGGAAGTTATTCCTTGATCAATATTTTAGGTTTGTAAATAGCTAAATTTTATACAGGAGGGAAGAAGGAAAGCTAAAAATAGACTAAGAAATTGTATTAATCTTCCCACCCATTCCCTCTATCTTCCCTTGCTTAAAAAACACTTAAGTTGTATGTTTGCTATTCACTTTTAATAAAGATTATGGTAGTTTTACCTTAATATTATTTTGATTAACATATTTTTATAAAATACACACCTCCTACATATCTCCAAAATTTATTATATAATTTTTTAAAAAGATAAAGTCAAGAACAACATACAATACCAAAATTGAATAAATATAAATGAATGAAAAAAGATACATTAAAATATGAGTGATTAAATATTTATTTTACTCATGCTTTCTGAAAATGAAGACAAATGGAAAACTTCAATATTACTGATTTCTAATTAATCTTAGTTAATTAGAATACAGTTTTGAAAACTTTTTTCTTATGTTAAATATAATGAAAGTTTATTTTGAAGATCTTTACCAACAACAATGGCAACATTTTGAATAGTAGGATTGTGGAAGAAATGTTTATAAGACCTTTTCTGATATCAGTCCTACTAAAATTTATATAGATATTAGGCCAAAGAGAGTACTTCGGAAGGTATCTAAACCAATAAGATTTGAGTTTGTAACACTCTGATGCTGTAATTTGATATAAAGAAAACATTAAAATATCCAGCAGACAGAATCAGGCTATGACTCTATCTTAATTAGTTTTAAGTTAATTTTTGATGGAATTAGAAAATACAGGTTTTACTCTCAGGTAAGATCCTAACACATAGCTAATGCATGTTGCTTACTGTGGAGAAATTTAAATGCCTTGGATACCATATATTTAGATGCAATAGCTGGCGTTCAGATTGAAATAGATAATGACTTTTTTACTGTCATTTGAATGAAATATCAACTTGTGTCTAGATGAATACAGACTCAAGGGAATTCTTTTAGGTAGAAACAACATTTTCTCCAATTTTGAGTCCACTCAGGTAAGTGTATCTGACTCTAAGGTGCTGTCCATGAGTTAAGTTGAACTGAACCCTGAATGGAAAGAAAATTGAATGGTTAAGTTGAAGCGTTGTTCGATGGATGTGAGTTGTTCTTTTTTTGTGAAGAGGCTTCTACTGCAAGGTTTCTCTGACAGTCCAGCCGCCATAGAGGTAAAATTATCATTTGGAATTTGACCTCCTGTTATCAAGCCAAAGGGTTTACAAAAAGTAAATCAACTCACAGACCTTTTATAACTCATCATCTCAAAATAATTAAAATACTCGTTCTTAGAAATCTACAGAAAATGCATACTCTACTGTGTCTTCCTAAATTAAGCTCAGTCCCAAAAGTCTTGTCCCTTGAAAATAATAAAATTAAAATCCTTATCCACTGTATCCCAGGTGACTAATAGCATCTGATGAAACAATTTGACAGCAAATTGGTTCATTACCCAATAAATGAAAGCTCTACTCTCTGAAGGTCAATGTCCACTTCTTGGTGCATATTAAGTGAGGAAATGCAGAAATCACATCTTTAGCTTTTCCAGAGACAGCTACCTTTCATGCAGATAACTGAGCCTACTTCATCTCTGAGGAAATTACAAAATGAATGTTAATTCCCAGCTCTGTTTCCACATGAACAGAAGGAGTTTCATGCCTTGCCACAATTCCAGGTTCTAAACCCCTAGTGCAAAGAGAAGACTCACTTTGCCACCTGAAAGCAAAAATTGTCCAAATGGGAATCCCCATTCATCATTCAGCACTGGCTCTGGGAATACCCTCCAGATGGGTTGAATTCCTGTCCACAAACCTCTATCTTCTGTCTTTATAACTCAGCAGAGCATAATTATCTGTCCTAAATTGTGTTAATTAAACAATTCCCATTTCATAAATGCTACTTAGTCCTTGAGACTCAGGCCTACTTAAAAAATAGGTGGATGTGTTGAGACTTCTGATCTTTTAAAAAAGGTTTTATTTCTCTAATAGTCCTGAGCTTTCTCCAAACAATGTTTCCCCAGATATCCACAATTAGAGTTTCATTTCTTAAAGTTAAGCATTACCCTCTTTCATTGTGCAAGTCCATTTCCTGAAAAGGGTGAACATTTTAAATTCATAGATACTTAGAATGAATTGATTTACTCATTGGCTTTTTTTCACAACAAAAACTCAGAGCAGCAGGAAAGCAATTTTACACAGAGTCGACCCCTGCTGAATCTGATGTTTCTAATCGCATACAAATATGCAGCAATATGTTGTATATTTATCAAAACAGCGAGCAAAAATGATATCTTGATAGAAGAAAAAGAGCTGGGGCAAGATAGTTTATTGGTGCATTAATTTATGTGTATTATTTTTCTACTCCCTCACCTCTAAAACACATAAAAATGCTAAGCAGGTAGCTAGGCATGTAAAGATTTCTTCCCTTGGAGATTTGTACAAGGAGGAAAACAAAAGCTTTGTTTGTTTATCTTTGGTAAAGGTTTAATCTTATTATTTCCATAATCCAGGAGTTGGAATAGGGGTCAGAAAGGAGAGAAAAAGCAGAGAAAGGAATGAGCTTGAAAGAAGAAAGAATATAAGATATACATATATACGTGTGTATGTGTGTGTATATATATATATATATATAAAACTTACAATTGGAAAGATATTATTTTTAATAATTTTTTGTTAAAAAGGGTCCTTCACATATATTTCTCTTCTCATCATTCATTTAAAAATAAGTGGTTTGGCATTCTTCACTAATAGATAAAAGGATGATTTCAGGGGTGAGGTACATAAAGTAATTTATCTTGGAACGTCTTGCTGAATCAGAAAAAAAAAACAATGCTCAAAGAATAATAGGAACATATAAAAAAGACATAAAAATAGTTTGAGCATCAAATTAAATAAGAGTAGTAAAGAACTATAGCTTATTCAATAAAATAAGAACCCAGGAGTCCATACTGAAATAAATAAATAAGTAAACATGCCTAAGTTCTTATATTCTTTAGAGTAAAAATAATATGGAAATGAGGTTTAAAAATTATCAATGGATACCAAAACTTGAGGGCAAAGATATTATCAAAATTAACATAGATAGTATTGGAATAAACTGACATCATGTACTTCCTGATACAACACAGAGAGGAGATATCATTTTGTGGTGTTCCAGCCAAATAGATAACCTAAATTTTATCAAGGAAACATCAGAGAAAAACCAAATCAAGGTTATCGACTTATATAACCAACTTGTAGTTCTAAAAAGCAAAAAAAAAATATGGTTTAGAAACAAAGATGGATCTTTTCTAAATTAAAAAAAAACTGAAGAAACATTATAACTTAAATATAATGTATGATTCTGGATTGGATCCAGGAGTAGGAATGAAACAGCTATAAAGCCACTATTGAGACTGTTGATGTAATTGGGCACAGACTATATACCAGGTAGTAGTTGCTTCAATGTTAAATTTCCCACTTTTGATAATAATACTATGGTTACATAGATAATACTCCTCTTCTTAGGAGATACACATGAACTATGATGTAAAGAAGTGCAATATCTCTAACTTATTCTCACATTATTCTTATCAACAATGATAAAGCAAATGAGACAAAACGTAATTTCGGTAAGGAATATATGGGAGTTAGCATAAATTCTTGTAATCTTTTCTCTAATTTGAAATTATATTAATACTAAAATGAAAGCTCATCAAAAATTAGTGGGTTGGAGTTGATAATCTTCAAACTTTGCTTCCTTAAAATTTATGATTTTAGAATGAGTTTTATTATGAAAATTTCTCTAGCTTTTCTCCTGGAAATAGTTGCCCCTTTGCCTTATTTATACTCCTAGATCCTGCATCATGATTCACACTTCTGTGATTAAAATAACATATTCAACAGGTATCTTTGAGTACTTAGTTTAAGGCAAACCCTGAACCAGGCACCAGGAATCTATTAAAACCAAGATACAAAACCTGTCCTTCTAGATTTATAGCTTCCCTTGTTACTTTTTGTGTACATACATGCTACTTTTTTTTTTTTTTTTTGAGACAGAGTCTCACTCTGTCACCCAGGCTGGGATGCAGTGGCACAATCTTGGCTCAATGCAACCTCTGCCTCCCGGGTTCAAGCGATTCTCCTGCCTCAGCCTCCCAAATAGCTGGGACTACAGGCGCATGCCACAATGCTCAGCTGTTTTGTTTTGTTTTGTTTTGTTTTGTTTTGTTTTGTTTTTTTTGTATTTTTAGTAGAGATGGGGTTTCACCATGTTGGCCAGGATGGTCTCAATCTCTTGACCTTGTGATCCGCCCACCTCGATCTCCCAAAGTGCTGGGATTACAGGTGTGAGCCACCGCACCTGGCCCATACATGTTACTTTCTTACTAGAATTCTAAAATATTTTGGAAGCTCCAAGCTGTGTAGAGTATTCATTAACATAGGATTCAATATTAACATAAGTTAATTAAAATTACAATTGACTATCTACAATGTGACTTTTTAACCGACTAACCCACATTTGAACATATTCACCATAAAAAATATTATCAAATGATAAATTGATTTTATAGGTGAAGGCTAAAGGAATTGAAAACTTATTCAGTCTGCAATATAACATTATAAAGGAAGGTGTGATGATATATTTTAGAAGAAAATAAGAGTAATATTTATTGAGAATATACTGTGTCCTATAAATTGTATTCAGTAGTATATATCAATTAATTGACCCACACAACAATTCTATGAAATAGATATTATTTAACTCCTTTTACAGATCAAGAAACTGAGGCTCAGTACTTTTAAGAGACTTAGGTTCACTCATATTTGCATGAAGATGTGCTTTGAACCTAGGACTGTTCAACTCTAGGTCTTGACACTATAATCCATTCTAATGATTTCTTGGTCAGTCCTCACTTTTTACCATGGAATTAGGGATAAAAGGGGGCATGTGAAAGGAAAGTCTTAACAAAGAACAATTGTCCCATTGGTCTAATAGATTTTTATATTATTGCTTTCAATTGTTTTTAATCCATTTGTCTTTTGCATTTATTTCCTGTGATGAGCAAAATGTATGCATGAATGTATGTTTGTAAAAGTAGATCCAGTGACCAGTTGTGATAAAAATAAATAAGATAATATAGCAATCTCTTATTGGAGTAGAGAAAATACACACACCACACACACTCAATAGTCTGTGTATTGAGTGTATACTCTTTTCACAGGAGAAAAAAATCTTCCATTAATTAATATTAAATGTGTAAAATTTTAGTGTTACTCATTTAAAACTTCTAAGATAATATTTTAAAATAGTGGGTGCCTTACTTTCTTGATATGTGCAGAATTAGGTGTTTAAACTTAGAAACAGTCAGTAAAAATTAATGATAGCTAAAACCATCATAAACAGAAAAGAAAGGGTTGTGCCTTTTCTTGAAAAAAAAAAAAAAAAACTGAGCAGATGGCAATTTTCTCACTTCCCCATAATAAGATCATCCTTCCATAACCATAGAGCGAGAAGTCAGTAGATGAGTAATGATGGCAAAGGAATTTGTCTTACAGGTGGAATCGGATCCTTCCCTGTCTTGGATACAGTTTTCAAAGGTCTAATATGAAGTAAACAGATACTTTTGAATTTTTACAGTAAATAGAAAGTGTGTTTTAATTTCTTTGAGGCAGATTTATTTGTAGAAAACATCATTTGCCGCTTAAATTATAACTATAAAAATAAAGATGTACATATATAATTTCATACGTTTATACAGAATATAAAGTTATGTATAAGAGTAGAAATAGCAATGTCCAAGGATCAGATAACCTGGAATCTACTGTTATGGTTTATCACAAAAAACGTCCCTTTGAGCAAGTCACTTGAATCTAAAATCTCCCATACCATCTGAAAAAGAGAGAAAAAAAATAGATCATTTCTATGATTCTTTTTTTTTTTTTTTTTTGAGACGGACTCTCGCTCTGTCGCCCAGGCAGGCTGGGGTGCAGTGGCACAATCTCAGCTAACTGCAAGCTCCGCCTCCCGGGTTCACGCCATTCTCCTGCCTCGGCCTTCCGACTAGCTGGGACTATAGGCGCCCGCCACCACGATCGGCTAATTTTTTGTATTTTTAGTAGAGACGGCGTTTCACCATGTTAGCCAGGATGCTCTCGATCTCATTTCTATGATTCTTTCAATCGTCAAAATTATTTGCCTTTACTCAACCAAAAAGGACGTATTGAGTTTTGTGAGCCTATTAGTGTGTTTATTCTTAAAAATAATGAAAAAATTTATTTAAAAAGTTTTATGAATCAGATGAAAACAAAACAAAAACATGAAGTAAGGAATAATTTAGCACTGAGGTGATGTTTTCTGGAACTAATAAACATCAACCATAATAACTACCTGTTATTGAAATCTTTATATGTTCCAGGCATTGATCCATGGACTTGCCATATATTTCCCATCTTATATGTATTAAGAATACATATAAACATGTATTTTGTGCATATGTAAACATGTATTTTTATACATATATAAACATGTATATATGTTTTATATATATATAAACATGTATTTTTATCCCAATTTACTGATAAAAAAAACTGATGCTTGGGGGTTTTAGTAACTAGTTTGATGTTACTCAGATAATAAGTGATGGGAACATGATTCAAATTTTATTCTTATCAATAACTTTGATGTCCACTTTATCTTTGGTAACCATACTTTATATGGATTCCAGTACTCAGGGAAGGATTTTATTATGGATAACAGAATATGGTAAGACATTAAATGATTAAAGTAGAGAGGGAAGGAGGAAGGGATTAGAGCAGTTTTTATATTTTTATATTAATTAGTGTCCAAGCTATCATTAGAGTCTACATAAACAAACACACAGACGCCTAAACATACACACATATATTTAAATGTATAGTGAATATTATGTGTAACGTCTGAATCTTTCAATGAGCATTCATTCTTACTACTGTTCAAATATATGTTGCATTTAGCATCAATGACATCAGCATTAATCTTTTAATAATTGTCTTTCCTGATAACTTTATACAATTTGAAAAATTTACAGTAGTTGCTTTTGTATGCAAAAGGAGTAAAATTTGCCAACTGGCAACCATCCCTCACAGAAGTAGCACATTGACTAACAAATACTATCTTGAGTTTGTGTTTTATTTCTGACAAAAGTGTGCCCATTAACTTTCCTTCAATTCTTACATATCTGTTAATTTTGGTGTTTGACTCTGCTTTATAGCGTTTGCAGCCAATTATATTATTTGCTTAAGTAAATTTAGAACCATTCTTCCATTTGTATATTGAGGCATAATTATATAAGTAAATGTATCATCATGATTGTGGCCTTAAATGCTTACCAGAGGAAGGTAGAGTTAATTACCAATTATATGGAAAGCACTGACAGTTTTATGAGATAAATCTAAAAACTGAAATAACACCTAGTGTTTTCTGGAAAGCAGAATAATGAAATGTTTTGACCACATTCATATAAGCCCACAGGTATGTATTTATACAAATAAACATTTACGTTTGGAGATACACATTTACAGACTCTAAAGAGCCTACTCTGAACACTATATTACTGCCAAGTGGGTCATGACTGCAGGAATTTCACATATTTTTAATGATATAAATTTTATCATTGGATAGCTAAAAAAACCAACAGTGTCCATTTTTTTCCACATGGATTCTGTGTTAGTGAGAAGAGAGCACACACAGAGTAAGATACCAAATATTACAAAATCCAGGGGCCATAAAAAGCTTCACTTCTTGGTGCAATGAACAATGGTTCATTGATCCTCACAGTGCTTAATGGGTGGGAAGTGGCTGCCAATGACACCTAGAGTAAGTCAGGATCTTGACAAATATAAGAAGAAATTGGTTGGCAACACAAAGCTTCCATAATTATTTTTAAAAGAAAGATAAGTATTTATTCATTTGAGGCTTGCCCAGTTCCTGAGCCAAACACAGCACCAACAAGGTCACATTCTCACCTGGAAAGAGAAATCAATGTCCATGCCTGTAAGTCCCTGGACAAAGTCTCTACTTGGGGCTTTCCAGCAAACCAGAAAGCCTCCAGTCCATGATTCTAATGAATAACCTTTGATCTGGGTAGTTGCAATAATGAATTGATCCAAGAACCATGATTTTATATTTATTTTACTGAAAATATCTACTCATTTAATTGTCCCTTAGTATTTCTGTGGTGTTTTAATGGAAACAAAAATAATAATAATGGTAGGAAAAGCCAAGATGTATTGAATACTCAAATATGCTTAAAAGTGTTACATGGTTTTATGGATGAAAAAAAATCAAGCTTGGAATCCTAGATGACATGACTTGTAGATGCTGGAGCAGAAATTTGAAGAGTTACATTACTATAGTTTCCACTCTTTAATACTGTGCTGTATTATTTCTCAGAAGCAGCACAGTTGTCCAATTTTACCCAATTCCCTGGATCTTAATTTATTGCCTCCTGAATTCTAAGTTTTTTGTTCTGCTCCAAGCCTCATACCCAATGTCCTTTTCATAGCTTGCATAATGTAAGTTATTTCAAGACAATCAAATGTTAGCAGTAAGAATTTTACCACATAGAGTTGCTACAGCAAAATATCTACAATTTCTAATTTTTAACCAAAAACTACTAGAAAGGCAAAGAAATAGAAAAATGCAATCCATACCCAAGAAACGAAATGTAATCAATAGAAACAGATTTCTTGTGGGCTCAGATGTTAGATTAAGCAGGCAAAAGCATCAAAACAGATATTTTAAATATGTTCAAAGAATTAAAGACAAATGTCCAAATAGTGAGTAAAGAAGCATAGACTCTCACTACATAAATGGAAACTAAAAACCAAATAGACATCTTAGAGCTAAGAATGGCAATTAGCAAATGAAAATTTCACCAGATGTGAAATGGCAGAATCAGTGAACTTGAATACAGATCAGTAGAGCCCATGTTTAGTGTTTATATGCTCAAAATCCTTCATATATCTAACCAGTCATTAATTAGCCATCCTGAATGCCAAAATTATGACTTCTCCCTTCACAATTCAACCACGCATTTCTTCATTTTCTGTTTTATATGAAAATTTAAAAATCAATAGAAAGGAGAGTTATATCTTACTGTAAAGCCTAAAAAAAATTTTTTTAGTGATTGCTAATGTTCCTGAATCATAATTCTCTTAGTTTTTCTACTGACATAAAAATTTTCTATAAAACGTTTCCTGTATATTGAAATTAACAAAAATAAATACAAATTCCTGGAAAATGAATTTGTCTCAGTCATTTTAAAAAATTTACATAGGAGTTCATGAAAAACAACTCATAATTATGAAATAGCACTTAGAGCTAAAACCTCATTGTAATGGAGAACTGTAATTTAGAATACAATATTAGACATGTAATTCTGATGAAAAGAAATCCATTAACGACATTTTTATAAATCTTTGAGTTTCACAAAGCTTAAATAACAAAACCATGAGTGATCTGAAAGTTTTTCACCATTTGTAGTTTCAGGGATACTGAAGTATGTCATGGATGTTCTAAAAGTACTTATTCAATATATTTTCAGTATAATAAGTGTGAAATGAATTAGGGTAATTGCTTGAGAATTAATCTACCACATTCACCCACACCCAAAACCCTGACCTTTGATCATTTTTTTCTTTTCTTTTAATAATGTTATCTCTTTCTAAAATACAACTAGGTCATAAAGCAACCCTAATCATCAGTGCCTTATCAATAAGACATATAAATGCTGCAAAGTCAAATGTCACCTAGTGAATATCCTTCAAATTCAGATTTTCTCATACCATATAAATGCATCTGGAATACAGCTGATCAGATCATATTTTGCTTGGATGAATTAATCAGGTAATGCTCATATTTTTATTAGGAGACTACTAGGTGCAAAAATAAGTTACTTTGAAATAAAAATAAATAATTTACTGATAATATTAATAAAGACTACTCGAGGTGATTATCCACTACAGAAGCAATTTTATTTTGCAACGTAAAAGCAAAAACACAGTCAGAAGCAACCAATATTAATGCAGGTTAGTTCTGGATATTGCTGTCTGTTGTTCAGGGTTGATAGATGGGGGTAAAAGATTAAAAATTTAGGACAATGATGATTGCAGTTTACCTTGAATTTTAAGAAATGATTTGAACTACTATAATATTTAGTTTTCCTATTGAATTGCATGTGGTAATTATAGAAAATGTTCTGCATATGGTAAGTACTGTAAGCACAATAGATGCCTTGCCCAGTGAGCATGGCAAGTCAATATGCCTAGATACCAGTTTGCAGCAGAGAAAGAGGTTTAATTGTAGGGCCACTGAATGAGGAGATGGGAGGAAACCTCAAATCTGTCTCCTAGAGGAGTTTGGGGCTAGAGATTACAAGGGTTTTGGAGTGGGCCAAAGTGTGGAGATCATTGATTGATCAGAGTGCAGGGTGAAGTCATGGGATAGTGATACGGTTTGGCTGTGTCCCCACCAAATCCCCACATGTAATAGGAGGGATGCAGTGGGAGGTAACTGAATCATGGGGGTGGTTACCCTACTCCATGTTGTTCTCATGGTAGTGAGTAAGTTCTCATGACATCTAATGGTTTTATAAGAGGATTTTCTCCCTTTGCTTGACACTTTTCTCTCCTGTTGCCATGTGAAGAAGGATGTGTTTGCTTTCCCTTCTGCCAAGATTGTAGGTTTCCTGAGGCCTCCCCAGCCCTGTGGAACTGTGAGTCAATTAAACCTCTTTCCTTCTTATGTGATCCATTCTTGGGTATTTCCTCATAGCAGTGTGAGAATGGACTAACACAATAAATTGGTACTGGAGAGTGGAGTGCTGCTGTAAAGATACCTAAAAATGTGGAAGCAAATTTGGAACTGGGTAACAGGCAGAGGCTGGAACAATTTGGAGGGCTCAGAAGAAGACAGGAAGATGTGGGAAAGTTCGAAACTTCCTAGATACTTATTGAATTGCTTTGACCAAAATGCTGATAGTGATATGGATAATAAAGTCCAGGCTGAGGTGGTCTCAGATGGAGATAAGAAACTTGTTGGGAACTGGAGGAAAGGTTGCTCTTGCAATGCAAAGAGACTGGCAGCATTTTGCCCTTGCCCTAGAGATCTGTGGAACTTTGAACTTGAGAGAGATGATTTAGGGTATCTGGCAGATGAAATTTCTAAACAATAAAGTGTTCAAGAGGAAGCAGAGCATAAAAGTTTGGAAAATTTGCAGCCCGATGATGCAATAGAAAAGGAAAGCCCATTTTCCTGGGAGAAATTCAAGCCTGATGCAGAAATTTGCAAAAGTAAAAAGGAGCAGAATGTTAATCACCAAGATAATGGGGAAAATGTCTCCAGGGCATTTCAGAGACCTTCATGGCAGCCCCTTCCATCACAGGCCCAGAGGCCTAGAAGGAAAACATGGTTTTGTAGGCAGGGCCCAGGGCTCCCCCTGCTGTGTGCAGCCTAGGGACTTGTCCTATGTCCCACCCACCCCAGCCATTGCTAAAAGGGGCCAAGGTACACTCCTGGCCATGGCTTAAAGGATACAAACCCCAAGCCTTAGCAGCTTCCATGTGATGTTGAGCCTGCAGGTGCACAGAAGCCAAGAATTAAGGCTTGAGAACCTCTGCCTAGATTTCAGAGTTTTATGAAAATGCCTGGAATGTCCAGGCAGAAGTTTGCTGCAGGGGCAGAGCCCTCATGGAAAACCTCTGCTAGGACAGTGCAGAAGGGAAATATGGCATTGGAGCCCCCACACAGAGTCCCCACTGGGGCACTGCCTAGTGGAGCTGTGAGGAGGGCCACAGTCCTCCAAACCCCAGAATGGTAGATTCACTGACAGCTTGCACCGTGTGCCTGGAAAATCCAAAGACACTCAATGCCAACCTGTGAAAGCAGCTGGGAGGGGGGCTGCACCCTGAAAAGCCACAGGGGTGGAGCTGCCCAAGGCTGTAGGAGCCCACCTCTTACTTCAACATAACCTGGAGGTGAGACGTGGAGTCAAAGGAGATTATTTTGGAGCTTTAAGATTTACTTACTGCCTCATCGGATTTCAGATATGCATGGAGCCTGTAGCCCTTTTGTTTTGGCCGATCTCTCCCATTTGGAATGGGTGTATTTACCCAATGCCTGTACTTCCATTGTATTTAGGAAGTAACTAACTTGTTTTTTATTTTATAGGCTTATAGGTGGAAGGGAATTACCTTGTCTCAGATGAGACTTTGAACTTGGACCTTTGGGTTAATGCTGTTGGAAGGGCATGATTGTGTTTTAAAATGTGAAGACATGAGATCTGGGAGGGGCCTGGGGTGGAATGATATAGTTTGGCTGTGTCCCCACCCAAATCTCATCTTGAATTGTAGTTCCCATAATCCTTTTTTGTCATGGGAAGGACCCAGTGGGAGGTAATTGAATCATGGGGCAGTTACCCCCATGCTGCTGTTCTCATAATAGTGAGTGAGTTCTCACAAGATTTGGTGGTTTTATAAGAGGCTCTTCCCACTTTACTCAGCACCTTTCTCTCCTGCCACCATGTGAGGTAGGATGTGTTCTCTTCCCCTTCTGCCACGATTGTAAGTTTCCGGAGGTTTCCCTAGTCCTGTGGACCTATGAGTCAATTAAACCTCTTTCCTTTATAAATTACCCAGTCTTGAGTATATCTTCAGTGTGATAATGGACTAATACAGATAGGGAGATGAAGAAACTGTTCTCATTCTGATGCAGTTCCTTTGTGGGGGTTCTTTGAACTGGTTGGCATCAGCCATTCTGCTGGGATTCAGTATCTTAAAAATGTGTTAAGCACTGCTTAAACAAAAGCCTTATGATTCTAACATCAGAGATCCTATCTATAAGAACAATGGGGATGCAAATTAGTTCTTAAACAGAAGACTTATAATTCTAAAGTCAGAAATCCTATCTATAGGAATAATGGGAATGCAAATGGTTCTGTCCAGAATTCACTGTTAAGCCTATGAGGACAGCTTCAGTACTCTCGTTATCTTGTTTGATTCTTCACAAGTCTGTGAGATTAGTGTTGTTATTCTCAATTTACAGGCAGAGCAACTAAAATTCTGAGAGATTAGGAAATGAAATATTAAAAAGTAAAATGTTCTGTGAAAAGTCAAGAAGTTTGGTAAATAACAAAAGCAAGATTGAAAGCAAACATCTGCCCAAAGTCACTGCAAAGAAAGAATTCAGGGTTTCTCCAGCCTAGCACTGTTCACCAAAATGTATGTGTTATAGACATATTTTAAGTATACCTCAGTACCATTTTGCTATAAAATTTTACCACTGGGGACTGTGCTATTACCACAGATTTAGAAATGTTACAAATCAAATCCTATTTTCTTTTTTTCAGTATTTTTGGACTGCAAATATTTCTAACTATAACAAAAGGTGTTATCTTTTTTTCCTATCATCAGTGTTAAAACCTATTTTTCCCTATTTTAAATGTGAGAACTAAGAAACAGTGCAATATCAGTAACCTTGCCCAAGGTCACAAAGTAAGTGTGCCCTGGAGGCAAGATTAGAACTGCTTCCCATTTTCCAAAAGATATGACTGTGTCCTATTTCCGTGAAGTTACAAGATAAGTAGCACAACTGATTTTGCTGTGTCAGCTTTAATTTGGCATGTCTTGACATCTGGCCATTTACATTCTTTGTTACAGGGCTGCCTTAGATGTGTTTAATTTCTCCTTCTTGTTTTAGAAGAGAACAACTGGGGGAGAAGAAAAAACCCTAATAGCCCATTTAAATACATGCTTATTTATCTGCATTTGTGACATTCTATTTATTTTTTAAACAAATTTGCTTTGTTTACCTAAATGTAGTATTGTTAAAATACTACAATTGTTGAAATACACAGCTGACTTTGCTTCAATGTGAGATGCTTTAGATACGCTGCTTGTCCAACTATATTTACATGCTTGTATATTTGAAGGCTCACCTCATTGCACACTTAACAGCTTATAGAAACAGCATCCTACTCATGTGAGCTGTCAGATATTAGCTCTTCACAACAATGCCATTTTTGATTATTTACTTAATAGAACTTACTCACAGTCTATTTAGCTCTGCCTTGTTAAAGAGGTCTCAATCCTTTTGGAAACCCAGTTTGCCATTTTTAAATAAAGCATCTGGGTGTTTTTAGCATTTATCAAATGATGTATATATGGATTGATTGCCTATTTTTTTAAAAAAGAAAAACTATTTTCTGTTCTGACTAAATATTTTTTTTAAACAAAATCTCCCTCTCCAAAGGGACATCTCAATTGAATTATTGCTTCCCTTTACTCCTAGGGGGTGGGAAGTAGGAGTGGAATGGTTTAGGGTGAAAGTACAATTACGATGCTTACAAATCAAGCCTGCAAATGGAAAAGACTTCTCATCCATAGCTACAGTCTCACTAGCATAACAACATAATTAGCTTTGGAGTTTTAGTAATTACCATCCGGATTCCTAAGGAAAACAGTCCTGAAATTACTGCTGTGTAATCACCAAGAAAATTGTAAAGTTTCCTGTTTAAATTTACTTCAGCTCATAAACAGAAATATTATCCAAAGATCATGTGATAAAAGACTAAGCTTAAAAAAAACTCCAATTTCAGAGATCTTTCCAAAGTTTCTTCATAGAGCTTCAAGTCAACAATTGTGTATCCCGACATCCTGTCACCATTTGCAGCCACATTTGGAACACTGAGGCCATTAAGTTTAAAAACCTCAGTCTGTTCAACCCTGTTCCTTCTTATGACTCATTTTGACATGGGCCTCTGGTCTCAGACTCAATCTCTTGCCTCTTTCATCATTTATGCTTGTTTTTCATAATTACTATCTTACACTCAAACTGCAGGATATTTCAGTCTGTAATAAGAAGTATAGTACAAACAAAATTAGTATAATTTTCATATTAACTCTTACTTGCTCTGTGACTACAATTACATAACTTATCTTGATCTGAGTTTTATTTTTCCAATCCCAAGAATACAGTCCCTGGTTTGTAAATGCATTTAACAAACTAGACTGTATTATTGATAATATTGATCAACTCTAGCTGTTACGTAAATTCACCTATGCTATTTTCTCTCATGACATGTCTCTGACAAATTTATCCTTGTCTTAATGAGAAGAAACTCCACTATCTTCTCAGTGGCTTTTCTGTTACCTTCCTCCTTGAACTGAAGCCTAGTATTTCATGGTAATACTCAAACTATTCCCTAGGATTTCACTTTCCCCTATGCCAAGGTTCCATTCTGTACTATGCCTTCAATTAGCAGAATGAGCAAGAAATTTCAGCACACTCTTGTTCTTTCCTAGATTTTTTCAGAACTGACAAGTCTTAAACATCTTTTTCAGAAACTGTTAACTTTCCTCGTATCATTCTCTTTCTTTTTTGTTTTATTTTTTAAATTATTACTATTATTATTATACTTTAAGTTTTAGGGTACATGTGCACAACGTGCAGGTTAGTTACATATGTATACATGTGCCATGCTGGTGTGCTGCACCCATTAACTCGTCATTTAGCTTTAGGAATACCTCCTAATGCTGGAGAGGATGTGGAGAAATAGGAACATTTTTACACTGTTGGTGGGACTGTAAACTAGTTCGACCATTGTGGAAGTCAGTGTGGTGATTCCTCAGGAATCTAGAACAAGAAATCCCATTTGACCCAGCCATCCCATTACTGGGTATATACCCAAAGGACTATAAATCATGCTGCTATAAAGACACATGCACACGTATGTTTATTGCGGCACTATTCATAATAGCAAAGACTTGGAACCAACCCAAATGTCCAACAATGATAGACTGGGTTAAGAAAATGTGGCACATATACACCATAGAATACTATGCAGCCATAAAAAATGATGAGTTCGTGTCCTTTGTAGGGACATGGATGAAATTGGAAATCATTTCTTGTTATTATCAAATAAAGCCATGGACATTATTGCAGGCCACCTAGAGTGATCTTTAGGGCCCATACACTCATTCCTTCAAGTACTCAGAATGTTAATTGCTGATAGCTCATAGCAGTGTTTCTCTATGGAAATAATGCACATTTGTATAAAGCTGACTCAGTGAAGGTTGCTTTCCTCCCTAAAGGTATTCTGCATGCAACAGGTGGTTATGGTATGGGTTCTGAGGCCCTGCTTCTTGCTGGAATTCAGAAAGACTCTAAAGGGGCATCCCAGCTCCAGTACGCTCCATGGAATTAGTTGAGGTCTCCTTTGCAATGACTTCTCAGTTCAACTTCTTTTTCTACCCAGTCCTGCACTCTGCCTGCCTCAGTGATGTTATTACTGAGCTCACTCCCCCAAAAGCCCTCTGCACACAAATTTCAGAGTCTCTAAGTATATTTTCCAGTTAGTTGAATCCATGGTACTTGGCACCAGAAATTATTCTAGAAAGCATAGGCATTTGGGTCTGGATCACTGGCTGGTTGGCGATGATGATGCTATCACTGATGTTAAGTGAAACACTAATAGCCTTGCACATGCATTTATGATGCAGTGTCAGAAAATTCATTAGTAGTGAACTAGGATGATATCAGGTGATGGAAATGTACTCATAAGTATAGTATCAGAGTTGTTAGAGAGCTTGGAAGAAAATAATAGGTATAGATGTATGGAATCATTGATGGATTGGAAAAAAATACTGAAAGGCTTCAGGTAATTGATCTCTAATACAAGGCTAAGCATGAAAGCCAGAGGGCTAATTTCAACTTTTAAAAAAACATTCTCTCCTGCAGCTGCAGGTCAATAAACCTGAACACTAGTTCTAGAACATATTTATTTATTTATTTATTTTTGAGATGGAGTTTTGCTCTTGTTGCCCAGGCTGGAGTGCAATGATATGATTTCTGCTCACTGCAACCTCTGCCTCCAGGGTTCAAGCAATTCTCCCGCCTCAGCCTCCTGAGTAGGTGGGATTACAGGTGCACGCCACCATGCCTGGCTAATTTTTTGGGTTTTTTAGTAGAGACATGGTTTCGCCATGTTGGCCAAACTGGCCTCGAACTCCTGACCTCAGGTGATCCACCTGCCTCAGCCTACCAAAGTGCTGAGATTACAGGCGTGAGCCACCGCGCCCAGCCTAGAACATAATTATAAGAGTGTCAGAGCTCCAAAAAAGATTTAATTCTCAACCATGGCATGTCTGCTATGCTAAGGTTAGGGCCTAGATTGGGAATAGTGGGATCTTCAGAATGGGGATATCTGCGATAATACCCTTGAAAGTCATTAATCCCCAGAAACTAGGGGGCTGTAGAAGTAGTTCTTTCTCTTTGTAAAAGGCTAGAACATCTCTCACTTGCTTAAAATTAATACAGAAGTGCCTGCCTTGGAAGTACGTACATCTCTTTCTTTCATTAAGATCTACTCTCACTTCCTTCCTCTTTCAACCAATGGACTAGTAACTAGGGTCAAGTCACATACCACCAGGCCAGTGCAAACAGAGCCTTCTAAGGAAGGATAAGAAGTACTTATAAGTACAGAGCCTCCTATGGGAGGAAAGGCACTATATGCTGAAGGATCTTCAGGACCTAGCCTGCGTGCACCAGCAGGAGCCAGTAGAATACATATGGGACTGGATCCTCAGGATGCTGAATAATGATGAAAGAGTAGAAATTGATCTCAAAGATTATATTACTATAGTAGCACTAACCTGAGCATTTAACATCCTAAAAAAGACCCTGGGAGATGACACAAATATACTACCATAGTGCTTGTTGCACGTTCAGGAAAATCAATGACCTGAGATACAAATGCCAGGAAAGTTGTTACAAATGGATAAGGAATCAAAATTCTCAAGGAATTGTGAATAATAGAATAAATATACCGTATAATGGTCAAAAATCTCACTAAGTAACTTTGTTGACGTAGGACCCTGAAGGTGCTGCGTTTACCAAAGCAGTAAGGAATGGTTTGATAAAATGAAGAACAGGTATTTTTAAGTTCAATGGTGACTCTCTTTTGTAAGTAAGAGTTGAAGCAGATTATGTGGCTACAGACTTAGGTTCCTTGTAACAATGGCAATGATTGGATTTCAAAAAATAGAGGCTGCTTGATGGTGCTTAACAATCAGAAGCAAGATAGGTGCAATTATTGTATTAGGCAGTAGGTCAGAGTGGAAGTCAGAAGTGCCCCACTTGTAGAGAACTATAGAGATGTTTAATGGAACACTGCACTCCCAGGAGCATATTAGATGGGCAGTTAAAAAGGTTATCGATCCATCTCTATTACCAGAATCAGTCAATGACTGATCATCAGGAGGCTGAAGGCAGCTGCTCCAATAAAGTCATGATCACTTACCCAGTTTCCATATCTGAGCCAGTTCTCAGACTTAGGATCCATTAACTGGTGAGGAGGCCAATGATTCATGAGAAAGGGCCCTGCATAAATATGGCAAATATGTATGTGTAATAAAACAATTCTGCCCTTCTCCAAAGAGTCATATAGACTTTTACTCAGATACCCATGCACTTGAGAAAGGTGATACCTAGATATTTTGACACCATCAGACTGAGGGTCTGTGTTGACAATTAATACCGGGGAATATAAGACATTATCATAGACACCTTGTTAGAATGGAAAAGTATGGAAGACAGGGAATAAAGAAGAGTCTAAACTGAGGTCCAATTCACACTGGGTTTACTAGGTCCAGTGGTCACTTTCAAGGTACATAAATGTATAACTGAAATGAACATCTTTGGGAATAGGCCAGACATTTACACTGGTTCCTTGGTCTATGGAGAAAGAACTATTCTAATAGGCAAAATCAAATGGAATCCCTTAAACCTGTCCTCCATTTCAGAATAAGATTTTAAATAAGAAACAATGTAACATCCCAGTGGGAAGGATGTGGAGGTAGCATTTACTATAACATACCTATTTAATTTACCAACCAGGCCTGTACAAGAACAAGTTGGATTATGGAGGATGACATTAGTCTATACAAACCCACCCACATAATACGCCAAATTGCAGGCTTGATGCCACACATCTTTGCTAGAGTATAGAAATACAACCTTACGTGCATGGTATATTGCCACTGATCTGGTGAAGGTACTCTTTTCCATCTCTCTCAAAAAAAGTACCATAAATAGTTAACATTTATATGAGAAAAGCAAGAATATATGTTTTCTAGTCTTGTTCTTAGGCTCCTGCACTCCTTCCAAATGCCGTTCAAAAGGACTGGAATTATCTAGATATTTTACAGAATGACATATTGTTATACTATATTGAACACATCATGTTAACCAAACCAGATGATCAAAAAGTGGTGAATACATTGGAGATTTTGATAAGACATATGAGCTCCTGAGGATGGTCTGTCATATCAGTGAAGTTTTTAGGAGTCCTATAGTCTAGGGTCTTCTAAGACATCTACTTCATGGTAAGAGACAAATTATTGCACTCAAAATTCCCACCAGTAAAAAGAAATTATATGTTAGGACTCTTCGAGATATACGAAGGTAGCACATTTCATACTTGAGAATATTGCTCCAACCCATTTATTGAAAGCAAGGAAAGTTGCCAATTTTGACTAGAATCCTAAGAAGGAAATGGCTTATCAGTAGTTTCATGTAAGCAGCCCTGCCATTTGGGCATGCACTGTGGTAGTCCCAGCATATTGTTTTAGAAGAGTCTGTGCGATGTAGAGTTAATGGCAAGGGCAAACAATAGAATCACAAGGTAGAACTCTAGGGTTATTTAGCAAAAATGTTTCATCTATTTGGGCCTGGGTAGAGACAATGTACCTGGTAATGAAGTATCAAGTAACTACGCAGCCAGAGCTACTGATTTTGAGTTAAATCATACAAAAAGGGAGGTCCAGAAGCAATTCATTTTAAGATGGAAGTGGAACATCCAGAATGAGGCATGAGCAAAGCTAGAAGTAAGCTACATAAGCAAATATCCCAAATCCCATTGCTGCTTCTCTGGTGCTTCCCTATCAAATCACACAGTGCAGATGTAAGCTAAAAGAGATGGGAAAATACCATGCTTGATTCATTGCCAGGTCAGCATGACCCATCTCTGTAATCCTAACATGTATTTCTGCTACCCTATTTCCATTCAGAGACAGTGGTAATGAGAAGTCCTCTAGGTGGGCAGAACTTGAAGTAATACACTTAATCCTCTAATTTGGATGGAAATAAACATGCAAATGTGGGCAATGACAAATGGCTTGCAAGGCAACACGAAGGCCTAGAAAGGAGATTAGAAGGTTGAGGACAAGGAGATCTACTTCAATGACGTCATCAGAAACAGCCCAGATCCAGGAAGCTATGAGAATGCCCTCTGATGTCTACGGATGGTGAGTCAACAAAAGGTACAATTTGAGAACTCCCTCTTGGTGACTAGGATATAAAAGGTGGTAAAAATGTATAAATATCTGAGGGGAGATCTTTCAGGCATTACTAGAAAAATTTTACAGTGATGATGATATTGGCAGTGGAAGGCAGAGTGTGACTATGACAGTAAAACAGTATGTTTGTGAATGGTTTCCAGACCCTAAAAAAGGTCCAAAGAAAAGGAGGAGAAAGGGGGGATCCTAATAACTCAAGAATACATCTGGATTAAACATTGGATTGATGGTAATCTATTTTTGTCATAGATGTGTTCTTGTCAGAAAGCTGAAAATTGACAGTCTTAAATAATTGATGCTTTGAGCAAAGGCAGGTATCTAGGACTTTATTTCTCTTATTACAGGGAAACTTTGTGAAAGAATTTAAACAACTATGTTAGGAAAAATAAAATTCAAGAATAAAGGATCTTAAACCTACATGTGGAAGAAAACAAACTGAAGTAACCTACAAGTTGAGTAATTTTCAAACCTCAGCTTGGAAAGCTTGGAGGATATTTGGCAACTGAGGGAAATTAGGAAATATTATTTTTGCCTGTGTGAGGAAATTTAGCACTTAGATTCCTAGTTTGTTAAGATTTTCAAAACCTTGCATTTTCTGGAAAAGCTATACCTATCTGTTGTGGACTGAATTGTATGTCCCCAAATTTTATATTTTGAAGTGCTAATCCCCAGTGCCTCAGAATATGAATGTATTTGGACATAGGGTCTTTAAAGAAATGGCTAAAGTTAAATGAGGTCATATACATGGACCCTAATCCAATCTGACTATTGTTCTCGCAAGAACAAAGAATTAGACAAAAAGAAACCAGGTATGGCCAGAAGCAGTGACTCATGCCTGTAATCCCAACACTGTGGGAGCCCAAGGCGGGCAGATCACTTGAGGCCAGGAGTTCGAGACCAGCCTGGCCAACATGGTGAAACCCTGCCTCTACTAAAAATACAAAAAATTAGCCAGGCATGATGGCATGCGCCTGTAATCTCAGCTACTTGGGAGGCTGAGGCAAGAGAATTGCTTGAACCCAGGAGGTGGAGGCTGCAGTGAGTCGAGATTGTGCCACTGAACTCCAGCCTGGTGACAGAGCAAGACTCTGTCTTAAAAAAAAAAAAAAAAAAGACACCAGGGATGAACACGCACAGAGAAAGAGAGGGCACCCATCTGCAAACCACGGAGAGAAGCCTTGGAGAAACCAAACCTGCAGACACCTTGATCATGAGCTTCTATCATTCAGAACTGTAAGGAAACACGTTTCCGTTGTTTAAGGCACCCAGTCTGTTATTATGTTGTGGTAACCCTAATACACCATCCCAGTGGAAAACAGTCTAGTCTATAGCCGCTGAAGTGACTGTACTCACTGTACTACTTATTCTGAGTGAGATCCTCTGACTGAGTTGAATTCAGTAAGAAACTGAGATTAAACTGAAAGACATTTGCACCTCAATTTCCTACGACTTACACATTTGTGAGAAAAGGAAACATGGGGCAGTCTTCATTACCGTGTATATATGTGGTGCTTATTTGATTACATCTGGCGAGCTATGTTGAATAACATAAGTAGTTATAATTTGAGGTGGACACTACAATGGCAGTTTTTAAATTCTGCCAATTGTGGTTAAATAACATGATTAAAGCCTAATCAAGTGGCTTCTGTTGTAAGAGCAGAACTGTCTATATATCTGGACCCAGGAAGTCACAAGGGGACCAATTATTTTGAAGGGAATGGTTTTTAAGGGTGGAAGGACTTCCCTGAGACACTCTCATTTCTTCCCCAAAGGAAGACATCCACAGCTCTTGTGTTATTATAGACTTGATGCCTTAGAACAATGGGTTAACAATGTAAAATTCTGTAAAATAGAGGAGTATTCAGAAGACAACATTCTACCCGTAATAGAAAGCTTTCAATTTTGCCTATCCCCTTTTTGATGCCTCCTTTCCAAGAGAAGAAATACTGTGCATATATGTAATCACAGTTCCACATTCTCCACTGGGACATACATGGGATTATGTTCCACGTCCTCCACTGGGACATCATCACAGTTCCATGTCCTCCATGTATGGTGGCCTCATTCTTGTATACTAGACCTTTATTATTCACTTAGACTACTTGTGATAACTAATAAAAGGTCTAATGCCTAGGGAAAAGTTACCTATTTCTTCTTTCAGGCGCTTCCTTCCTTTTTCTCTCTTTTTCTTCTCATTTTTTCTGTGTCTCTTCTCACATGCTTTGCTTTTTGTCTTGTTATATTTCTCTATCTCAGTAGCTAGCTAGCTAGCTATGATTTTCTATAAAAAGATAGATAAAAGATACAAGAGAGATACCTTCTTGCATTGCATTTGTGGTGCCATGAGAGGAATGAAAGAAGTGAGTTTTTCTGCTGATGAAAGAATATAAAAATAGAAAGAACTTGAAGTCTTGATAATGCTAATTACTGGGTAATAAATCTTTTTATTGCTTACCCCAGGTAAGTTAACATTTTCTAATTCTTGAAACTAAGTCTTCTCAACTGATATGTCTAATATACCACTGAGTCAATAGTTCTTTCCCTCCATGCAATGGACTGAATGTTCGTGTTCCTCAAAAATTCATATGTTGGCTGGGTGCGGTGGTTCACGCCTGTAATCCCAGCATTTTGGGAGGCTGAAGCGGGCGGATCACTTGAGGTCCGGAGTTCAAGACCAGCCTGGCCAACATAGTGAAATGCCATCTCTACTAAAAATACAAAAATCAGCTGGGTGTGGTGGCATGTGCCTCTAATCCCAGCTACTTGGCAGGAGAATCACTGGAACCCAGGAGGCAGAGGCTGCAGGGAGCCGGGATCGTGCCACTGCACTGCAGCCTGGGTGACAGAGTGAGACTTCATCTCAAAAAAAAAAAAAAAAAAAAGCATATGTTAAAATCCTAATCTCAATGTGATAGTATTTGGAGGTGGGGCCTTTGGGAGACAATTAGGTCATGAGAGTAGAGCCCTCATAAACAGAATTAGTGTTCTTATAAGAAGAGGCTAGAGATTTAGCTAATGGTGAGGCAGGATAAGTAAGGTGTGGAGGTCATAATGACTTGTCCCCTTGTGTGAAGCCCCGTGGACTCCTTTTGCATCCCTTGCATCTTCATGCATCAGCACCTAACTATCTCGTAAAATACGTGGTTCTGCTGCATACCAGCCAACCACCAGATGATTACAAGTTCCTGATAGCCAGTAAGGTCCCAGAAAGAGAACAAAAGTCCCTTATTCATGTTGTAGCTTTCTAATCTCCAGCCAGTCAGCACCAAAAGCCCAAGAGCTATTAACTGCAAATTCCTGTCATAGGGGAGCTAGGGACTTTTTCGGGTTCCTACATGTGCAGCTACTTTCAAGGTTTAGCACACAGTGGTCTTTTCCTCATTTTAATAGTAAAAAACAAACTCCTAGGTGGAAATTTTCTATGCTTATGATACATGTAGAGCATGTAGATGCTGAGCGCATGCACCAACTGCAGGTCCGCCTTTGCACACTTGACCTCACCAGTATTTTATGAACATGTATGTACAGCTCCCATAAAAGGAACTCCCCTAAAGATACCAGGGACTGTCTCTCCCTTTGAGCATTCCTCTCTGCCTCTCAGAGTGTACTTTTGCTTTGCAAGAAACTTCTTTGACTACTCTTATTTTGGACTCGCTCTCAAATTCTTTTGTGCAGAAAGTCAAGAACCTGAACCAGCCCACCAACAACAATGAAAAGTCAGCAGTCTGCAACCTGGAAGAGGGTCCTCACCAGAACCTGACCAGGCTGGCACACCCATCTCAGACTTCCAGCCTCCAGAGGTATGACAAATAAATTTCATATTTATAATTATACATATTACATATAACATTATATTATATACAACTGGAATAATTATCTCCAGAATAATAATAATTATTATCATTGGGTGGTGGAATCAGTTTGTTTCTTAATCATACCCTTCTGTATCATTAAATTTTCTATAGTAAACATGCATTATCATTAAAAAGAAAATAGAAATAAGTGCATAATGTATACATGTGTAAATTTTAATAAACGTGAATTACAAAGGTAAAATTCTGTCCTTTTTTGTTCAGGGGGGGTCAGTAAAAATATTTCTAGCTCCAGATCTGCCACTTGACTCTATAACCCTTGTAAGTCAGTGAATCTCTTAGTTTGCTCATACACAAAGTAGATATAGTACTACTCAGTTTTCATCTTAAATATTTGTCATGAAGATTTCATGGACATCAAAAGGCTGGGAAGTTTAAAAGCATGCTAACACTCTGTGGAGATGCTATTATTCTTTATTTTCTTCATATTTGAAACATTTTCTATGTATACTATGGCTTTTAATAGTTCAGTGCCTTGAACATCAGAATATAACTTATAGATATCTCACATATTATTAATAGCTTAGAGGAACATAAAGCATCTTTTACTATAAATTCTACCACAGAATAGGATGTGTGTGTGTGCGCAAGTGTGTGTATGTTTTAAATTAAAAAGTCCCAGTGGAAAATAAGCTTCCCTTTGGAACTCTCCTCTTATATAAACTCACATTTTTGCTCAGAGGAACAATAACAGGAACAATAAATGTGTAGTCTAGTTCCCTGAGGAAAAGGAAATCCACATTTAAGAGCTTTTATCACAGACTCTAATACACTATCTAGTTTGTCAAAAGGGATATATTTATCAGCACAATAAAAGAGTACCAGGAAATTGCATAAGAGTAACTAATTGTCTGCCTTTCCTTCCTTCTTGGAAACAAAAGTGTCATTAAAGTTCATGAACACACATGAAATCTTTTTGTTTTGTGTTTCTCATTTTTTTTTCATTGCTCCTACATTGTCAACCTGCAAAGAAACTGTTGTCTGAAGAGGAGGACACTCAATGTGGTTGAATAGACTAATTTTCTAGCATTCCCTGGACCCTGCATGATGTAATCTGCTGAGTATCTATCTTCTCTCTCTCTTTTAAACTTTTAATTATTAAATCAAATTTATCAGCTTGGAAAACAGACTCTAGAGTCCTATACAAGAATATCATTATTTACTGTAGAAACACTATATTTCTTCTACATTATAGTAATATAAAAGAGCATTTATAGTGTATTAATATGCTCAGTTTTCCTGATATAAAATGCTTCATTATTTCTTCTCATTTTTTCAGTCCTGCTTGGCCCTTAATTGATAACCAACCTGCTGAGTGGGCATAAAACTAGGAGAGGCTATGAACAAGACAGTCCCCGAGTGACATCTAATTTTCTGAATATTTCTGGTGCTCTTTCCTAACATTCACGTCTCCTTTTCCTTAGTCCCATTTTTGAGGGATGAGCTCTCTGAAACCTGACAGTCAGATAATCTGATAAACTCAACTCTAACAGTCAATTGCTTGTTGTTAATGGGTAATGGGACTCTTTTCAGGGAATTTGAGTTCCTTTTAACCGTGTCTTTTGGATACAAAATCTTAGGCTACCAGAGCCATTATTATGGGTATTTCAAATGCCTCCTTCACACTTGGAATGGAATGTGATTGGGAAATTGATGAATAAAATATGTGTGAGTAGGTAGGATTCTTCTCTTTTTATACATAGGTATGACATTCTGATTGGATATAAGCTAAACATTTATTTCTGGGAGTCTGTGATCTAATATAGTTACAATGAAAAACTCCCTAGAGAATTGGAGACAATAACAACTGCGTAGTCAACAGTTCAAAGAAAGAACGCATTGCAGTGTATTAAAATATGGCTAGTGGCCAGATTAGAAAATGTTGAGTCAAGCACAATATTTACAGGGTAGAGATAAAGGATGAAGTTCCCAGGTCTCTTTGTCTAGAATATGAGAGAATTCAGATGCAAAGATGAAAAGGAGGCAATCAAGCTGGAATGATGTGGGCATTCCAAACACGTGGGGTGGCCTGGGCAGAGGCCCAGAGAAGATGGAACAAAGACAATTTTAAGACGTGGGTGTGAACTAAGTCTACAGGAAGGAGACTAACAGGAAAAAAGAGAAAGAAAATTGGGAAAGAGCATTAGGAATAACTATGTTAATGGAAACATTAAACAAGAGACAGGCATGAATTGAATTTGGGGCACAGATTTGGTATTCGGTGACAAAGGTAGCAACAATTCTTACTGCCCAAAAACTTCCTAAGTGAATCAAGTTACTTTTGGTGGCCTCAGTCTTCCTTTTTTTGTATTTCCTCAGTTTTCTGCTGCTCTTCTTCCTTCAATCAAAAGGTGATGTCTGGAAAGATGCTATTCAAATAATTCACCGCAATGTGAAAATTTCTATTAAAGATAAATGGGTTATCCTTCCAAAATTAATTTGCATGTTTTCATGGGATAAAACCTTAATCTCAATTTCTAATTACTAAATGTCAGTCATATGTGTTTAGATCAGCAAGAGCATGCCACATTGAGGCTGTACTACATACCATGCCATGCATTTGACTATCTTTGGGGACAGACTGAGCTCCCTATAACGTAGGTTAATTTTCATGATGATGCTAGGAATTGTGCATACTTAGTTATGAGACCCGATTATAGTTCCTATGTTCTGTATTGGAAAAGAACTTGTCATAGGTAATGTAACAATAAAAACAAAAAGCAGTGATATCTCCTGGGAGGTTTTTTCTTCCTAGCCATTAATAGATTATGTTAAAAGTGCTAAATGCATATAGATTGATACACCAATATTCTCACCATTGTCAAGAAGTTGACCGGTGAGTTCCATAAACGTTCCATAAAGTTTCATAAAGTTCCACAAAGTTTTAGAGAACTACGCAGATTTTTCAGTATTTGCATTCTAGATTCTAATTCCTATTCTAGCTTTTGACCAATGGAACAAATCTTAAATCTTGTTTTCTGGGTCCGTAATTGACACCTTTGCAAGTTTATGTTTATCTACAGCTCCTGAGAGCTGTGGAACTTGTTCAATTTGATTTTTTTAAAGCATCCAGAAATCCCATTATTGCACAGATCCCCCTTCTCAGCACAAGGCTTTGCAGCCAATATTGCTTTCTTCAAGTCTTCCACACATGGATTAAAACATAAAAATAAAAAATAAGTTATTACCCTTTGGTAGATTTGAGAATATCTGAGTCTGACTGTGCAAACATTAGTCCTAGCAAAGGTGGTGAGATTTATTTTCTGGGCCACACCCTTTAGCAAAAATCAACCACGGAAGAAAAATAGCTATGAGAAGATTGCATCATAATCCCAGAAGAAAATAAATGGAATTATTTAGTCTATAGAAAAGGAAGGATGTCATGGACAGGTCATTTCCTTTATGGTGGGGAAGCATTCCAAGTGGGTGAAAAAATAGGACTCAATGGGATAACTACTAGGTGATAAATTTTAGTTCAGTATGAAGGGTAACTGTATAAAGTGATTGTCCCAGTCATTGTAGATGGCATAAATTTCCCCAGAATGAAGAAAGCTCCCTGTCACTGGAAAAGTTTAGATTTTCACACATGCTTCAAGAATTAGATGGGGATAGTAAAAGATTAGTAGGTCCCTTTCAACCTACAAATTTCGTCTGTAGTGGTTTTTCTAAGTTACCTTTTGGAGAATTTTTTAACTCTCCATCCACTTCATTTTTCTTCTTTATTTAATGTTTATTTTCCTCTCAATCCTTTCGTTCTCCATGTTATTGTAATGTAATCTGGGAATATATATTCACGATAAGGAATCAGTGACCTAAATTGTTACCTTTCTCAGGAATACTTGCAATTCAAAAGAATATAGGAGAAAGAAAACAATGCTTAACTAAAGTAAAAAAAATTTCTAACCACAAGAATTAAGTATTAGTATAAACATAGTTAAGAGAAAGCTTTAAGCAAAATGTGGTCCCTTCAACAGAAAACATAGTGTGTTTCCTTAACACAAATATGAAATCAAATCCTACACAATTTGGATGTATTTTTAGTAAAGTAACAAAATTTACTCTTTAAAAAACATTTTTAAAAACATCATTTTGTGGGCTGGGCATGGTGGTTCACACCTGTAATCCCAGCACTTTGGGAGGCTGAGGTGGGTGGATCACGAGGTCAGGAGATAGAGACCATCCTGGCTAACACGGTGAAACCTGTCTCTACTAAAAATATAAAAAATTAGCCGGGCGTGGTGGCGGGCGCCTATAGTCCCAGTTACTCAGGAGGCTGAGGCAGGAGAATCCCTTGAACCTGAGAGGCCGAGGTTGCAGTGAGCCAAGACCACGCCACTGCACTCTAGCCTGGGCAACAGAGCGAGACTCCGTTTCAAAAACAAAGAAACAAACAAACAAACAAACAAAACCCATCATTTTGTTATCAAATAAATCATTTCAAGTTCAATTATATTAAAATAAATAAAATGAGATTGTCAACACAATGATCAGCAAGTTCAGTGCAATATGATAAGGCAGAAAAGGACACAAATACAAGCTGAGATAATCTAGGTCCCAATTCTGGCTTTCACACCAATAACTTGGGTCACCATAGGCAAATCACTTAACTTCTTTGGGAGGCTGTTATCCAACCTTTACAATGAGGGAGTTGAAATAAATAATCACTAAGATCCTTTCCAGCTCCAAAGAATACCCTAGGCCAGAAGTTAAGAAAGCTCCTTTGACAGGCACACAGATGCCTAAACAGCTGGCGAAGTTTGGGACTTTGCCTCCTGGGCCACTATGCGGCACCTTTCCATCCTTCCCAACCATAAAGAATTTTCTGCTTCCCATAGATTAAAAAGATAATTACTGAGAGAACATCAAGATACCTGGTGACAGAGCCTTCTGGGCAAACTGTTCCCACTTATAGGGTTTACACAAACAGAGACATGACAAAAAAAAATTGGCCACTTTAGGACAAATTACTAAAGAGACCACAAAAAGCACTGCAACAAAATGAAATTCTCTAAATTCCTTAGCTTAAATGGTTTTAGCAAAATTCTTATGTTTTATATAGCCAATTGCTAGAAGCCTAACTAAAACTAAAATTACAGTAGCTCAATTCATAAAAGTTATTTTGGCCTTGGTTTTGGCATTTTTGGCTCCTATATTGCTTAAAAGGTTTAAAGGCTGACCTTAAAAGGTTTATAGGTGATATGTCTTTTGGCTCTAAGTCTTCTGGCTACAGAGGTCCCACTGAGGAATAGGATGGACAAATGGAAGGCATCCTCACCTCCCTGGCAACAATATGGGACAAAATAAAAGTTTGGCTTTCAAGGTTGCCTCTGGTAAATTTCAGCTAAAAGGAGGAAATAAGTAATAAAAATAAAGTCCTAAGCCCTCACAACCAACTGAATGGAAATCTTAAAACTGAGAAATCTTAAAACTGAGAAATCTTAAAACTGAGTTCCTGGCCATGACGAAATGGGAGGCCAGACATGCCACATTATAACCCCTTCTTCACTAAGTTCCATTAGGCTTTCTTCGTTAAAGAAAGGGTTAAACAGAATCCAGCCATTTATAAAGACTCCACCATTGATATCAACCAACCACCTGACTGTTGCTCTTCCCTTTTGTGGTTTTGACACAACGATCAACCAGCATTCGTTCCTAATAAGAGACCACTGACCATGGAGTAGCTCTGGCTAGTCTATGGAGGAGGCACAGTGAGGGTTTTCATGTCCTCTGCTTCACCTTTTGATGTCAGAGGGCTGAAAACTCCACCCTCAGATCACGCTGGTGCTGCCATTTTTTGAACCTTGGACCCATGGAGAGGCATCAAGTTCAATCGCAGATGCACATTATTATTCTTTAATAAATACATACAACTCCTTCTCAGAAAAAAAAAAAAAAAGAAAGAAAAGAAAAATCCTTCTGTTCTAAACTGTTACCTACTTGTTGCCACTAACAGAATTTTATCTTGCACTATGGAAAATATACTCAATCAGAACTAGGTCAAATAAACTTATATTTTTGTAAGTGAAATTCATTTCTAATGCATAATCACAGAGATGTGGACAGAAATGATTTTCACTGGCATTCTCACAAATAAAGGTTTCAGCTCCTGTATTTTTATCTGTTTCTTGTAACTACCTTAAGTTAATTGGACTTGCAATGGGCCACAATCACCAGGCTCCCTGGCCAAGGTTCTGACTGTACTGAATACTCTCACAGCATGGTTTTTGCTCACATAGAGGCATATCTTTAACTTTTTAACTTGTCTTTAATGTTTTGATCCCTGCTTTGGGAGCATACCTCTTATTTGCCTTTACTGAAATCCTTAAAATAAGATGACAACCCATTGACTATGCTAGCATACTCTATATATTTATGTTTTAATCACAAACTCATTCGTGAAGCATTTGCTCCATGAAACAAAACAAATTATAAGCAACAACTAGAAGAGAAGAGTATGCTGAACCAATATGCCAAGCACAATGAAGTTAAAATGGTTAAAGGTTCTATTCTCTCTTCCCTGTGTATTATTATGCAGTGGTAAAATAAGGTAAAGAAAAGTAAGCTGAAATATTACCTTGATGGAAACCTCTTATTTAAGTCAAAATATTAGAGCAGACATTGGCAGACACTTATTTAATGAGCCAAATAGTAAATATTTTGCAGGCCATGTGGTCTTGGCCACAACTACTCAACTCTTCCAATGTTGCATGTTAACATGCATAGACAATACACCAGTTTGGATATGTTCTAAAAAAATCTTTATTTACAAAAACAGTCAGCGGGTGATACTTGATAGTTCAGCTATAGTTTTCCCACACCTGTATTACAGTATACTTTATTAGGTGTATGTTATAGTTGGGTAAAGTTATAGTAGAACAGTATTTGAGTCACAGAACCAGATGTATAGAATAATGATTGATTTATCAAAACCAGTTTGCCTAACATGAAAATTTGCAAGTCCATTGCTTGCAAACCATTCCTGTCTCCAGAAATTAAGTGATGCCTATAGTAAATTAATCAAGTCATGAAACCTAATGAAAAACGTTTGTGGCTTCAAAAGAAAAATATTATAATATCAGCATAGTCAAAAGACATGTAGAAAAACTTCATAAACTTCATAAAAGTATGCAACATTGCATTCAAGAATGTTGTCTAATATAAGGTCACCTTAGTTTTTACCTCTCCGGTGTGTAGTATACAATCTTAAAGAGCCGACATACATCTTAGGTACCCCAGAAAGTAACACTACATTCTAGTAATTTATGTTTCAAAACATACGCAACACTTGAGAACTGTTAGTCTATGAGAATGTAATAGCTATTTTCTAAACAAAAGATGGGCTGATTCCAAGGTGAAAGAGACAGATGAGTTTGGTGGGAGAAAAGATATGGGGCTGAACTGAATAGCAAGGAGGTTATAGGAGGAAAGAACAGAGAGTAGAGTTATATTCCAAGATAATTTATATATTATGGGATTATCATGTTAAGTTGCTTTTTTATTTTTAAGCAGATCTAAATTCTCCTGGCAACATATTTCTGGCGGCTAAGAATTGGAGGATTTTGGCTTTCTACTTGACCGTGACTCACCTTCTCAGGATCTCAGTATTTTCTGCTTCTAGTGAAAACATTGTTTTCTCAAAACCTGACTCACAGTCACAGAGACTTTGGAAAGAAAGTTATTAGTTTGACAATAAATATTTCTAATATCAATATTTTGTATTGATAAGACTGAAATAACTGATAATCTAAACAGCAGTGTTTCCTATTCACTATAGTCCTGAAGGCAATTTTTAGTCTTTAGGATTGAAATTTCTACACTGAGTGTTTCTTGCAACCCTTTTCTCACCTTATGACCTTTACTAATAGTGGATTGAATCACTGATGATTGCTATATGCCATGATAATTAGTGTGCCACGCCAGTTTCCCAAAAGGACTTGGTTATTTCACTCCATCATTTAAGGCTGCACTTAGTAAAGTGCCATCAACATTAACCCAGGGGAAAATATATATACTTGATTGGTTACAGCTACATAAAAAGAAGTCCTAGATTAGTAGGCTGAAATTCTGTTTCATTCTATCGGCCCCAAATTGGGGAGAATTTGAGCAAACACTTAACCCTTCTGCATATTTTTCTATAAAATAAAGAAAATATTAATTACTCTGCCTACCTTATGGAGTCAAAATAATAGATATGTTCTTTAAATTATTTGAAATGCACAAGGTACACATATATATTTTATAATGATCTTTGGTAATTTTGGCAAAGAAAATAAACAAAAATATGTAAAATAAAAACATAAAATATATGATAAAAATAAAAATTATATTTTCTATTTGTCTTAGCTTATGTTTTCAAAAAAGCAGAGATCGAGACAAGAGGTTGAGTTTATTTGGGGAAAGAATTCATAGGAAGTGAAGGGAAAGTCAATGCAAGAAGACACTTTTAGATTGGTTACCACTAACAACAATTGGTGCTCAATCCTATTGAAACCTTGGAGCTGCAGAGACCTAGCTTCAGAATGGTTCATCTGTGAGTTGAAAGAAGAGAATGTGGCCGGGTTCAGTGGCTCACACCTGTAATCCCCGCACTTTGGGAGGCTGAGGCGAGTCAATTACCTGAGGTCAGGAGTTCAAGACTAGCCTGGCCAACATTGTGAAACTCCTTATCTAATAAATATACAAAAATTAGCCAGGCTTGTTGGTGTATGCCTATAATCCCAGCTACTTAGGAGGCTAAGGCAGGAGAATCACTTGAACCTGGGAGGCGGAGGTTGCAGTGAGCTGAGATCGTGCCTCTGCACTCCAGCCTGGGCAACAAGAGTGAAACTCCATCTAAAAAAAGAAGAAAAAATATTTATCCTTCGGCTACTGCTTTCCATTGGTGTAGGCTTGTCCAAGGATCTATATTACCTCCTTACCACACTTAGGTTGTACATGCATGAGTGACCAAGATTACTTCAAACTCCCATATTGAGGATCAAAGAAGTACCAGGAAGGAAGAGGCTGATACTGAGATAAGGTGTTTCTCAGTTCCACATTCATGAAGCTGGCTGCTACAAAAGTGGCTGATAGATAAAAATGACCTAAGAGAACATGAGTCAGAACATAAAAGGCACTTGGTATACCATTTGAAAGTAGACTAAATACTATTATTCTACTTTTACATTATTGAGTAACTTATTAAAGAAATTTAATCCTTTTCAAAGCCTTAACATTGTATTTTCTTCTACCTTCATAAGACTTTGTTAAAAACATTGAATGAAGATTCTTAAGTTCTGGTGTATATAGCTGGAGGAGGAAAAATGCTCTTCCATGAATTTTAAGAAAAAGTAGGAAACAGATGATATATTCTTATCAGATAATTTTGAAACAGGGAAATACATAAAAATCTAAACATTAAAATAAATTTTTTTTTGAACATCAAAGATCAACACTAAAATAAGTATGGCAAATGTATTCCTACAGTTTTAAAAATATAATGATGACAAAACTACACAAGACAGTAATTACCCATTGTATACAAAAATAAATAACTTCTAAAATAATTTTTTAATAACAGAAAGATAACTTCCTGGCTATGAGAGTGTGACTATGACATTTGTTGGTAAGGAAATTTGAGAAGTCTTCTTCATCTGGAGATAATTGAAGCAATCATGTATACAATTGATGAAGGGATTAAAACAGTGATTCTAAGTCTGCTGGTCACTTATGATTTTCTTTTATCTTCATTCTCTGCTTCTTGCTCTATATTGTAGGGAACTGGGCGCTGCAAGGTTACATTTTCAGGCTTCCTTGTCAACTGGCTTCTGGATAGATTCAACCACTAGGAGACACAGGGAATTAGAGGGAGTGGAAAAGGAAATTTCTTTTTCACTGGTTCTTCCCTTCATGGTTCTAGTTCCCTCCAGGTGATTCCAGTTCTGGGCTCTGATTCTCACTGTTTCTCTCCAACCCAAGGAAAGAAACTGGCTTCCTGCCACTGCTAATTCCTAGGTGACCTCACTTTCCTCATGCTTGGATTTCAGTTTTCCCAACATCTTGTAAATGAATGCCCACTATTAACTCTTCTCTATTGTTCTATCTGGCATGCATGGGCTCTATTTTTCTTACTTAACTCTGATACAGTACTCCTACCTTGCAATAACGGTTTATGTCACATTCTTCTTAATGATGCCTCATTTAGTCAGTGAATTTCAGGTAAATTTCAGTGTGAGGCTGCAGGAGATAATATGCTCCTAGGTATTATAGCAGACTGTGTATTTTGGGAGGTGGAATGTGAAAGTATATTTTTACACAGAATTATCAAGTGATGTCAATACCCCTAATTGGCACATGCCTTTCATTCCTGCGGGTGACATTCTTTGAATTCGATGATATTTTAGGTCTCTTCAAGATGTATAATTCTACAGTCATAATTCTTTCTTCCTATATAAGCATCCTTTAATTCTGACAATTAAACATGTTTCTAATTCTTCCCTAAGAGAAAAAAAAAACATAGACAAGAAATCTGTATATACGGGAATGTAGTACAACTCTAGGATAGGAAGATTTGAATTATCTAGCACTATTCAGAGGCTTGCAGTTGAGGTGAGAAAATCAACCTGCTGACCTAAATGAAGAATCGATATAGTTCTTCAGAGGTAGGCCAAAAGGAAGATAAGCAGCATACAGTATGCTGACAGTAAATTTTAGCACTGAGGAAAAACATAGGGTCTGGCTCAGGGTTCACACAGTGGGTGAAATCTGACTTGAGCTAGCACTTCATTTACAGTTCAAATAAGACAAGTGTTCCCTACAGCATGAGGCATGGTTTCCATAACCCCAAAATGTCTAGGAGTAAAAAAGGTAGAAACCATCCGAATATTTTTTCTGAACATCAGACATAATAGCAAACAAAGTATTGGAAAAAATGGGGAGTCTGATGGCAATTTTTTTTCTTACCAAATAGAAATTAGAAGAGAGCAAAAAGGAAATGAGGCTATGGAGTCCTAGTGTCTCCACTTGATTCCAAATTCCACTATTTCCTAGTTGTGTGACCCTTGGGCAATTTAACCTCTTTAGCCTCAGTTTGCACATCTATAAAACTGAATAATAATAATGATAGTTCCTGCATACTGTACTGAGATAATTGAAGGAAATAATCTATATAAATGGACACATAGTATATGCCCAAGGGGAATTAATTGGTTGCATTAC
The DNA here is from genome assembly GCF_000001405.40 of Homo sapiens. Lineage (NCBI taxonomy): Eukaryota > Metazoa > Chordata > Mammalia > Primates > Hominidae > Homo > Homo sapiens. The sequence continues at coordinate 51,210,402 of NC_000002.12, read as the reverse complement.
TTTTAGCATTTAGATTTTTTTTCAGAATCTCTCAGAAAATAACAGAAGAAAAGAAAAGCCACTAAGAGGAATGCATTGCCTTTTTGTACAAAATGATTTGCTCTCTTGATAAAGATGGCATCCTATGTGAGCAGTTACCCCAATCTGAAAATGGTAACAGGCCACTTTCCCATCAAATGGAATGTTTCTGCTGGGTGATGCAGTGGCTAATCTTCTGGAAGAACACGATCTTGTTTGTCATGAACATTAGTTCCTTACCTCTCCAGCTTCCATTTCCCCCTTTTCAGGCAATTGCCCCCAATTTTGGAACACGTAGGGAATCTACTTCTTTCAGGTATGGGGTTTGGATGTGGTTCCATTTTTTGTTTCAGGAGCTCATGAGACCCACACTTTAGCCAATCTATGTGTCATATTCACCTGAAAGCAGTTGTCAAATTAATATGACTTCATTTATTCTCCTGTTGATGGACATTTAGGTTGTTTCCAACTTTTTATAATGTATTCTAGCATTCCTTCTCCCACTAGCTCATTGTGTGAAATTCTGTAAGCCAAGTCTTCTTAGCCTTCATTTTATCAGTTATAAAGTATAAAATGTAGATAAATGTTCTCCAAATTTTCATTCTGTGCTAAAATCCTATGCTCTACATTCCCTGAATACTGACATATCACATTAAATAGCCGCCCCTATCAATGCTTTCCTGTTGGGCTTTCTCATCTTCTTGGCCTCTATGAGTCACCTAAAATCAGGGTGCTCAGCGAGTGCTGCACAGTGCACTGTTTGACTTCCCTAGGCTCCAATATGCTCATACTGTGGTCCATTTCTTCTAGCCACATGTCTTCCCATTGTCCTCATATGCCACTGTAGCAACATCTGTGCTGTCTGCTGTAGACTTCACCTTAGGGAAATATTCACCACTATAGGAAGACAGGCTTTACCTTGCAGAGCTCTTTGGCTGTTTGGGAAAACAAACATAATCTTCCAGATGGGTTGTTAGCAGAGTATTTCAGAATTGATTATATACTGGCCATTTTCCAGGAATCCCTGCAAAGAGACTTCAAAGGAATAGGCTCAGAAAAACCTGACCCCATAACCTGCCTATGCTATGATCTTAGTCTGGACACACATGTTCTTAGTCTCCCATAAACCATTCATTTTAGCAAGGCTCCCTGACCTGATACCAAAAGCATATTTGAGAAAGAGAGACAGAGGACTCAAAAGAAACAAAATCTGCCTTGTCAGTTAAAATTCCACTGTCATCTAAAAAACATTAGTGTATTTACTGCTACTGGCAAGATTTTGATGCAAGGATTTTGCTTTTCAATAAAGCGGTTTAGTCTTTCAAACCATAAGAGATGTGAAAGTTCACTTTAATAACATGAACCATCTTGACTAGAGTAAAATGTTATCATAAATAAATACCCCAAAGTCCCTAGTCAATTACTGTTAGTTATTAAAACCGACAGTTATTAAAAATAGTTTTCAAACTACAGTCATTCAAAACAACTGTTAAGAAGTGGAAGTTATACCTTTCTGAATATAAGGATTCTGGTTTCCCTTCTGCCACAAATGGTGATGGTTAGGTTTAAGTTTAGGCTTTCACACAATGAAGCATGATGATTTTCTACTCCTTATGGTATGATTCTGGCATGAGATTGTTCCTCTTTTCTTTTCTACTGTATCGAATGAATGATAACTTGTGTGAGGAAGGAGGTGAGATTAGTCAGCACTTATGCTTATAGCATGCTGATGATGGCAGTGGAGAAATGGCTCCTTAACTTTCAGTTGCAAATAAATAAAGTTTTAAGATCTTGTAGTATCAACTGATCTTAAAGTTCTGGAACTGAGAACCTTTCTAGATACATCAGACTGAAAGTTAAATAGAGTGTTCTGATTAAATACGAAGATAAGACCACACTTATATTAGGTTATAATTATAAATAGTAGTGAGAATTTTATCAAGTTATACATTAAAGGCTTTTTACAATTTTTAAGTGCGTTTCATATCTAAAGATATGTTAGGAAATAGTAGATAAGAGTAGACTTTCTAAAACTGTTGAATATCAAAATAATAAAAACAGTTGATTAATGGTTCCTATTTGATTTTAGGGGCAAGAATACTTTACATTGAAACCTGCTGATTTAAAACCCTGAATGAAAATATCTAACTAATAGTTTATCACGTTTAATTTTATTTTTTCCTCCCCTCCTTCTTTGCATTTTTTCTTTCATTTTTGTTTCTCCTTCCTTCTTTATTTCTATGATAATCAAACATCTTTAAAGTAAATCCATAATTTTGAACATTTAAAGTTATAATCATATTGTGACCATGCATATAAAAGTTATCATCCACATAATGTAGTCAAATTAACTTTCGGTTGGTTCTTTTTTTTTTTTTTTTTTTTTTTTTTTTTTTGAGACGGAGTCTTGCCCCTGTCACCCAGCCTGGAGTGCAGTGGCGCAATCTTGGCTCACTGCAAGCTCCACTTCCCAGGTCCATGCCATTCTCCTGCCTCAGCCTCCCGAGTAGCCAGGACTACAGGCACCCGCCACCACATCTGGATAATTTTTTTGTATTTTTTTTTTTAGTAGAGACAGGGTTTCACTGTCTTAGCCAGGATGTTCTCAAACTCCTGACCTCGTGATCCACCCGTCTGGGCCTCCCAAAGTGTCTGGTGGTTCTGATGTGCTTGGCAATGTTGTTGAGGGGGTGACTTGATCATTAAGTAGCAAGAAATGTAAAACATTAAGAAAGTGAAACTTTGAGCGGTAACAATAATTAAAATAAGAGAATGCAGGGCCGGGCGCGGTGGCTCACACCTGTAATCCCAGCACTTTGGGTGGCTGAGGAGGGTGGATCATGAGGTCAGGAGATCGAGACCATCCTGGCTAACACAGTGAAACCCCGTCTCTACTAAAAATACAAAAAATTAGCCAAGTGTGGTGGCGGGCCCCCGTAGTCACAGCTACTCGGGAGGCTGAGGCAGGAGAATGGCATGAACCTAGGAGGTGTAGCTTGTAGTGAGCCGAGATTCTGCCACCGCACTCTAGCCTGGGTGACAGAGAGAGACTCTGTCTCAAAAAATAAATAAATAAATAAAAACAATAAAAAATAAGATAATGCTATTAAATATCCCATGTAAGTGGTTTCAAAAACATCACCTCATTTACAGAAACCTCTCAGGTATGTATAATTCAATAAAAATTGCAGATGAGAAATTTTTGGGGAGCACTTACCTCTTGTTTTTCCAGATACAGAGACCCATATTAGAGTAACCCCTGGGCACTAACAACCTTACTCCTGGGGAAGTAATGTATTCTGTTCCTAAGTCATGGAGAAAGAATTTGTTGTGCCCATTTAAGCTTCTTTCTCCCACCTTTCGTATGGGATCTGATTGTCTGCAGACAGGGTGGCTTCTCATCAGCGATTTTGGTGATGGAGACATTTTGCTTAAAGGCATCATTAGCAAGGTTGCAGGCTTGCAGCTATACGGTTTTTCCTATGACCAGGCCAGTCTGTCTAGTCCAGTCATGACAGGTGGTGATTGGGGGTGAGGAATCACAACCACTGTCTGCCTGCACCTTAGCTATGTCTTACAAAACCTTTATTAGTAGTGTAAGGGCTTTTTTGATCTCCATATGCATGATACCTATGTCTAACTTATATTCACACAGAAAAAAATGAAAGATGAGATTTATCGACATTCTTATCCCCCAAATTCTAAAAATTGGGTCTCAGAGAAAGGATTGTTCCAGGTCACACTTATAAGTGACATAACAATTATAGCAGTGGAGACTATAACATGTTTTGTAAAGATTTTAGGAGGAGAAAGTTTGACCTGGGCCAAGGTCAGTGGTTATTAAGTGGTGACCAACAATATCCAAGGTGTAATGGTGATGTCTCAGTGTCTCCTGGGAGTAAGGAAAATGTTGAAGGGAGGAGGTAAGCAGTGAATGCACTTTTATCTGTTATATACATTACATATGGAAAGCTTATTCATTACATATATTATTTATTTTGAACCCAAGAAACTTGCCATTTTACAAACTACTTTTTAAAAGTGCTCTGGATGGGAACAATTAATGAAGATTGTTGGAAGAAGGAAGACTTGGTGGCCCTCAAGTGCTCCTTGTTTTTCAGCATTTATATATATATATATATATATATATATATATATTTTTTTTTTTTTTTTTAATTTTTATTTCCATAGGTTTTTGAGGAACAGGTGATATTTGGTTACATTGATAAGTTTTTTTGTGGTGATTTCTGAGATTTCAGTGCACCCATCACCCGAGCAGTATACACTGTACCTAATTTGCAGTCTTTTATCCCTCACCCTCTTTTTTTTTTTTTAATACTTTAAGTTCTAGGGTACATGTGCACAACGTGCAGTACATGTACTATTAAGAGTTGCTTACATTGCTTTTAGGGAAGCCCTGCAAACATCAGGACTCACCTAGATAATATTTCTATCTTCAAAAAGTAACAATCCAGAGGAAGTACAGATATAAGAACAAATTCCTCTTATATCTTTAAGCATTTTTAAAAATTCAGCAAGAGTTAATTATAGATACTGACCAATCAGAGGCCTAATATTGCTACACCAAAGGAACTCTGGCCTCCCTGTTTCTTATCTTTTTAAGGTTTATTATGTTTACATTTATTATTAGTTTTAAATATATGCTTGCAATTTTCTAACAAGTACCTAACTGAAGAGTGTATCATTGACATTTTCCATTTTACGCTTGCACTATGGATATGTGAACACCAGTTAAATGATGTTTTCTGACGCACATTTTGTTATATATCCAAAATCTCTGCCCTCAGTGGAGTTCTGTTCCTTCTTTATATCACTTCCCCAACATGCATTCTACCCACATCTGCTCATGTCTACTCACAGCTCCAGTCAGCCACCTCAGAGAATGTTCAAAGCTTGGGGAAGTCTGTGATTAAAAGGGTTGAAACCGAGAAGCTCCAAAAATGCCAGAAAAGTTTCCTTTTTCTCATGTCCAGTTTCTAGAGTAGAGGTGGTATCTTTATCTCTTTGTGATAACCAGCATTCTAAGGTAACTTCTAAACATCTATGTTAAAAGGCAGTATGAAAAACACTGCTAAGTCATTAAAACAGATTTGAGATTTGAAATGGGTCAATTCTTTAGCAAAATAAAACTATAGTATGGGCCAGGCGCAGTGACTCACACCTCTAATCCCAGCACTTTGGGAGGCCGAGGTGGGCAGATCACCTGAGGTCAGGGGTTCGAGACCAGCCTGGCCAACATGGAGAAACCCTGTGTCTACTAAAAATACAAAAATTAGCCGGGCATGGTGGAAGGCGCCCGTAGTCCCAGCTACTTGGGAGGCTGAGGCAGAAGAATCGCCTGAACCCAGGAGGTGGAGGTTGCAGTGAGCTGAGATCACGCCATTGCACTCCAGGCTGGGAAACAGAGTAAGACTCTGTCTCAAAAACAAACAAACAAACAAACAAAACAAAAACAAACAAACAAACTATAGTATGTTAAAGAAACATGATAAAAATAGACAAGGAAAGGTTACCTTTGTATCCACATCCACAGACTGAGAGTGATCATTGTCTACCTGTTCCTGTCTATCCAATCTATATTGCCTTTTAACTCACACTTCTCTCTGCTATTTGTTCTACCAAAAAGAGAGAGAGGGGAAATCCTTTCTTTATACACAAATTCTCAAATGCAATATCTATATTGAGAATGAAAGGGACATTTTCCATCTCCTTTCAAATCTATCTCTCTTTTTGATCTAAGCATTTCCATTGCTATCGCTGCAGGGCTAAGGAAATAAAATGCAAGACTGAATCAGGAAGGCTTTTCCCACCACTTGGCCTATGAGTTGAAAGGAGACCAGAAGACAGACATAATAAAAGAGGAGAGAATTTAATAGAAAAGGGATATCTTGACTGTCCTCTTGCCTTTTTCTCTCTTCTATAGTTCTCAATTTAAACAATATAGATTATTCCTGAATTTCAGGGGTTTTTGGGGAAGAAAAAGGATAAAACTTTGTAGCAGGTCAAGAAAACAGGAAATAATAGGTTTGCAATATGCAAAGATTGGAGAAGGTAACAGATAGTATCCCTTGCTATACTTAATGTTTTATTTTATAGTTTAAATTGTTTGAAAATTAGTCATAACTGATATATAATTTATAATTCATATCTTAATGATATGTTGCAAAGAGGAGGAAGGAAAAAGCCCCTTCCCTGCAAATGCTAAACAATATGAAACCAGACTTAATTTTTTTTAAAAAATGGAATATGCTTAAGTATCTTTAGTTTAATTCTGAGAATGAAATTAGAAAGTAAAGTTTGTATCAGAGAAAAGAAAGAGCTATGAAGCCTGAGAAAATCTTGAGGCCATTATCCCAAGCGAATTAATGCAGGAAGAGGAAACCCAATACCACATGTTCTCACTTACAAGTGGGAGCTAAACATTGAGTACACCTGAACATAGAGAGGGGGAACAATAGACACTAGGTCTTACTTGAGGGTGGAGGGTGGGAGGAGTGTGAGGACTGAAAAACTACCTGTCCGGTACTATGCTCACTACCTAGGTAACAAAATCCTTTGTATACCAAACCCCAGTGACGCAATTTACTCATGTAACAAACCTGCACAGGTACCCCCATAAATCTAAAATTTGGAAGAAAAAAAATGAATCTTACAGAACAGATGAAGAAGAGGACCATGACTACAGATACAGAGTTTAAAACAAGATACTAGGATGGATGACTAAAAGTAATTTTAAGCTCAATAAAATAATATGTGTCTTAAGAAAACATAAATCGTTAAGAAGCAATAATAAACCTGAATAAATCATTACAGAAAATGTTTAAAAGGTTATTACTTTTCTGAAGTAGAGGAGACAGGTTTAGATTGTTTTATAGGCAAATTGATTCATTCATTTATTCAAGGAATATTAATTGAATTCCTAATAGATGCCAGCCATGACTCTCAAGAACTTTTAAGGAAACGCAATTCTCCTACTTTACAAATTATAAAAATTGTTGCAGAGAACCACTTCTTTTTTGTTAAAAGTATTTACTTCCTCCAACTAATATCAGTTATATCTCATGTGCTTCTCAATACAGGCATACACCCAGTCACATGTTTCACTCTTACCAAATTCAGGTCTAGTAGATTATTTGCAAAAATGTTTGTAGCAATTTTATCCATTCCAGTTTTCACTCTCCTTTGCAGTATGACCATCTTAGTTTTCAAATTTAGGCTGGTCTGCGATTTGCTTTGGCTGACAGAATATGATGAAGTGATGTTATATGGGTTCCTTACTCAGCCTTTAAGTGGACTTGCAGCTACTGCTCTCTACTCCACACTGCTACCACCATCTGAAGAACCCTACAGTAGGAGACACTTGGCCCAGATAAGTAAGATCAATTCACATCATGGAACCCCAGGATTTGAACCACAGGATAACTGCAGTCACAGGTGTAAGCCCAGTCACCACCACATAGGACATAGACAAGCCATCTTGCCTGAGATGTGGCTACATTGCTGATCCATAGAGTCACAATCAAATGAATGTTTGCTGTCTCAAGTTACTAAATTTGGGGGCACTCTGACACATAGCAAGATATAGTTGAGAGATAATTTGGATTCTGAAATGGGGTGCTGCCTTAACAAAATCTAAAATTTGTGGCATTAGCCTTGGGACCAGGTGGTAGGCAAACGCAGGAAGAGTGACAGGAAGACTTCTCTAGGAGGTTTGAGGAAGTGCAATGTCTCCTGTGTAATTGTGGAATAATTATCAAAACTGCTTCCTGGAGTAACTTGGAAGCTTTATTTCGTAGTCAGTAGGGTCAAATGTACGTTTGGGACATTTATATATTTTTGGTAATATTAAGCTTAATATAGTATTAGGATGGTTTTTGGCACTTGCACAGACATTGCTCCTAATGAGAGATTTCTTTAATTCAAAGATACGTTTCTTCCTTGGGAGAATTTGCAGTTACATTGAGAAGGTTAGATGAAACAGACAATTTTATTTCATTTCAATGTTGTATCCTAATTTTAAACCCTTTTGCATTCATTCTCATTTGATAGTCACAAAGAAAAAGAGTATGCAGTGAGAAGGACAAGTCTCATAACCACATGTTGTTAATGAAGAAGCTGAGGCACCAAGCGACTTAAGGATTTGACCAAAATCAGACAGCAGCAGATTCAAAGATAATGCCAGCTCCTCATCTTCGTTTCTGGTGCTGTTTACACCGTGATACTTCAACACTGAAAGAAACACCTATCAATTCTCGTACAACTTTAAAGATGCATTCTTACTGTCTCGAGGCATCCTCTAATTTTGTGTTCCTATTTGCTTCATCTAGTTTAGGTTATTAACTCCTAAAGGCTAGGGCATACATTTTGAAATTTTTTTTTCTCAGGACATTAGGAACCTTAATAAATTACTTTTGATGGTTACTTTCCACAAGGCAAGACTTTTAAAATCCCAAGCTCCTGTTTTTTTCTAGTAAAAATAATAAAGTTTATATCCCATTATACCATTTCTTCTTACATGCCAGAAGTCTAGTGAGGTAAATAAAAGGAAGGAAGGAAGGAAAGAAGGAAGGAAGGAAGGAACGAAGGAAGGAAGGAGAAAAAGACATAAGAGGGAGGAGACAAGAAAGGAGCAGAAAATAGGAGAGAAGAAGAAACAGGGAGGGAGGGAAAGAAGGAAGGAGGGAAAAAGAGGAAGTAAGGAAGGGGCACAAAGGGAAGGAGGGAAGGAGGGAGGAAGGGAAGGAGGGAATGAAGAGAGAAAGGAAGAGAACAAAACCATCAACAAAATTAAAACACTATGTGAACTAAGCCTTGAATATTTTAGTATCAAGTGATCCTTGGATTTCATTAACATGTGGTTCTATTTATTAAATGCAATTATAGCTATGCAGATAAAGCATGTTGATTCAGCTGTATGTATCCAAGGGCTATGCTAATGTTTTTCCAAATTCAAGTGACAAAGCTAGTTTCTAAATGGCTTCTTTTTTTCAAATTCCACAAACAAATATTTAAGGTGCTTGGACTATTTCTACTAATTTTGTACCACATTAAGAAATATTATGTATTATGCTTTAAGATCAAAATGTGATGAATTTTCCAAAATTATTTTTAGGAGAATATAATTTTTTATATTTCATTATCCAGAAACGTAACAGCTTCTTCTTAACCTCTCTTTCTTCCACTAAAATAAAGGGGTCGGGGGGCTTGGGAAAACTGGATGGTAAAAATTTAAACAAATAAAAGTATATGTTAGCAATCCACAGGACAAGTATATTAAATAATGTTTTTTCCAAAATAATTATTCAAAAAGCACCACTTAGTGACAAATTTGTCTGCATTTTAAAGTGAAAATGGAATTAGTCATTTGTGATTTCAGGTAAATATTTAAAGTCTTTTCGTAGATCACAATTCAATTCAGAGTAATAGAAGGTATAAAACCAATTTCTGTAAAACATCAGTATTAATAATGATAATGTACCATTCTAATAACAGCTACTCTTTGTTGAGTATTTAGCATACACTAGAAATTGTGCTTATTTATTTATACATATTTAGCTTGCAGTGACAATAGAGTCACTGAAATCACTGAGAGTATGTGTGGTACACGGAAGCAATCAGATATGTAATTATTAAAATTGTATAAACTACTTTTACACTCATCCTCCTTGATTATCTCAACAATACTATGTGGTTGGCAGAGCAAATAGCATTTGTTGTAATTTACAGAGAGCATCAGAGCTATTAAATGGTGATCTAAGATTCAGATTCAAGTAATGGTTCCTGAACACCAAAATATGTCATATGTTTTCCTAATTGCTTTTACATGTCCTACAGCATCCTGATAGTAGTCCCGTGACATAGGTTCAAAGAAGTTCTGTAACTTTCGCTATGTGCCATGACTCTAAAATGTACACATCCATTTTTTAAACTTGGTGCTTCTGGTTGTAGGTCTACAAAAAGACCTCGCCAATCATTATGTTGTCAGTAATGATCATGCTGGATATTTGCATAGGTGCGAAATGTACTAAACCTTCACTTTCTTGGAACATATGCACTCTGATTAAGTACCACTTAATAGTGGTGAATGTGTCATGAAAAACCCTGAACTCTGAACTTCATAAATACAGTTTTGTTTAAGTATGTGAGTGATTGTCAATGTGTTTATTTCTTTACCTCCAAAGAATTTAGTCCATCCTGATATAAACTCTTTTCGGGGGCAGGGGGCTTAACAGGACTTTCACTGTACAATGGGTACTCCCAAGTGAGCAGCCATACTTCTTGAACTGTCACTAGCTACATGACTACTAATTTGCTCATTATTACTTTGGTGCATTAAGTGATACTTTTTTGGCTCGAAATAGTTAATGATTCTCCTGATTGCCTTATTTACTCCTTGGGAATACTCTTTACTGTGAGAAGCTGGCTGAATACAAAATACTGACTCTCCTCAATGAAGATACCTAGGGATATGCAAAAGAGCAATTTCTCCCTCTTCTCTCTTACTCTGAGGGAATTACAGGACATGGAGTAACTGGATTTGAATCCATACAATATTGTTATTATTCCTTCAGCCGGCTTTTGAGGGGTCAGAGGAGCCATACAATGGTAAATACACTTAAAAATATGATGTTAAAAGCAAAGCCTATTTTACTTGAAGTTAATGAAACTATTTTGAAAGTGAATGGCTTATTTTTTGACTTATTAAAGAGAACATAGGAAGCAGCTTATAATCTTTATTAGAAACTTCAAGCTCATAATTCTAACAAAAAAAATAATTGATGTACAAAATTATCTCAGATTAGTCTAGCATATAGATCTATTTTTTCAATCATCTAATGGCCTATGTGCGAGTCACTTGATAATTTTCTTGATTCAGCCCATTCTTACCCATCCAACAAACCTTTGGCCAGTTATAATATATTGTGTCCTGTGCTCTTTTAAAGAAAATGCAGTTATAAAGGGAAAATAAAAAAGCCATGTATATAGAAAATATATTTTTTAAAATTTACTTTGTTAGACAGAAAATGTGGAGACAGATAATTTTCAAATGTCAAATTAGAATTTCTGGCCCACATGTTGAATTACATGGCTACCAAAGAAGTTAGTGGGACCTTGGACTTTACTACTATAGTTACAGGATTCCTATGAAATCAAGAGTCATTTTTATAACGGAATAAATATTTTGGGGCAATAATGGCAAATTATAGATTGCATAGAGGACAATGGGTAGAATTGTGAAGGAATGGGAAACTAGTCCATATGAAGAAAACTGAAAGAACTCATAAGCCTGGCATCTCAAGTGAAATTAGGACCAAGAAAATAAAATGAAAAGATTCAGAAACACCTTCCTTTACAGGGTAGGAGAAAGAAAATTAAAAGATTTATTGGTAGGGTAGGAAGAAAATCTGAAAAATAATATCACAGAAAATTGGGAGAGGAGAAAGAAGCAAAAGAGAAACAGTCCACAGTTTGAAGGGCAGTAGAGATAAAAGAGGATGTAGAATACAACTAATTCACTGGCTTGGTAAAGAAAAGCACAGTGAATTTTTAGCAAAATGGTGGACACAGCGACCAAACAGAAAGTGATCAAGTAATACTTGATAAAGAATAAATAAATCAGGGAGTACATAACTTATTTCAAGATTTTTACTGTAACTTGTAATGTTCACCTTTTAAAAATTCATTATAAATTTGCCAAATAAGCAAAAGGCACTTGTCACAGTGTTTTGACTTGAAAGGCAAAAATGCTGCCTTGTAACCTAAAAGTAATTTCTTCTCTTTATTATTCCACCATGAATGTGAAAAACTTTTTAGAACAATAGACCCTTTGTAATCGGAGATATATCAAGTGGATATACACATAGTATGTATTTGGAAACATCTGTTATTGTGCTTGCACAGGCAATTACAGTAAAGAGGCCAAATTGTTCAAGGGCCCATCACCCTATGAATGAAAGAATAGTCAAAGGTACCTCTCTATACCAGTTAGCAGACAAATGTTGTGCTTGATACCTGCTGTCTCCCTCATGTGCTGGCCACAATGGATGAGTGAGAACCAGCTTTTCCTTGACATTGTTGAACTCGGAGAACATGGAATAATTTCATTGTAGTAACTAAACCTGACAAAATGTTTGAAGGTATTTAATCCAATGTCTTAATTGTACAGATAAGGAAACATGGGTTTCACAATGTTATATGAGGTATCTGAGGTCATTTACCAGGTTTGCAGGAAAGCTAGGCGTATAACCCACATATTGTATTTTAAATTCCACAACCATCTGGAAACTGTTCATTTTAGCTGCCTTTTCTCTCTCGGTTTCTAAAATCAAATCAACATTTAGAAACCACAAGTTAATGTATGATTTGGCATAAGCATGAGAAGGGGCAGGGATGTAATTGGGATAAAATGGAGTTGAAAATAGTCAAAGCACAGGGAATAATGTCACAAGTATAAACCAGGGCATACATATAAGATTCAAAGATCTGAAACATGCAAAATCATACCAGTTAAAATGAAACTTGAGAAATAGAGGGAAAATACTCCACGTCTATGTCTGAAGGTGTATTTATGTGCTTCCATTATGTACTTAGCCCTTACTAGGTGTGTTGGAGGATTCATGAGAAATACATATCATAGCCCCTGTCTTCAAGATGAAATTTTATTCACTAATATAATTACAGACATGTCTTACATACCACTTATTAAAACTCAGTCACTGTTGTATTGCTTTTTGCATATGGTCATTCACAAGTCTGTGATATAGAGTACTATTATCTCCATTTTAGAGATGAGGAAACAAGGTAAAAAAGAAGTTCTATATTAGTTTCCTAGGACTACTGTACAAAGTACCACAAACAGGATGGCTTAAAATAATAGAAATGTAATCTCACAGTTGTAGTGAGCACAGGTCTAAAATCAAGGTGTCAGCAGGGACATGCTTCCTCTAAAATCTGTGGAGGAGAATTCTTCCTTGCCCCTTCCTAGCCTCTCATGGTAACCTTCAATCCTTGATGCTCTTTGGCTTGTAGATCTATCACTCCAGTCTCTGCCTCTGTGGTCACATGACGTTCTCCCAGTGTGACTCTGTCTTAGACACCAGACATATAGGATTAAGGTCCCACCCTATTCTCTACTCCAGTATGACCTCATCTTACCTAATTACATTTCCAAGGACCCTACTTCAAAATAAGGTTACATTCTGATATACTAGGGGTTAGAACTTCAACATTTCTTTTTGGGGGACACAGTTCAACCCGTAACATGTACCTTGTCTAAGTTTACTCAACTACTCAGAGGAGAAGCCAATGCAGTCTTTCCAGAGACTATGCCCTCAACTACTACGCCGTTACATAATTAACTACTGCAACTAGGATCTTATGACTGTGCATTGTAATACTTCAAGATGTTAAGGCACTGAGGATCCAGTGAGACATTGGGGATCCAAACTAGACCATGAACAACTGGTTTAATTGGAGCAGAGGGATGCCAAAACTCCTTCAGGAGGTGAGTACGTGAGGAGAGACAGAGAGACTGGATTAAAACCACTGGAATAAAAAAAGGCCATGGAAGAAAATACTATGTTTAGAACCCTATAATTGGAAAAGTTCTGTGAAAGGAAAAATAACTTTAATGGTAGGCAAAAATGAGCCTATCCAATTTACCTGTACGTCTGCAATGTGTTTAAACCTGTAACAGAACCGCACCTGCAATATTATTTATTCTAGATAGTTAACATTTTCTTTTAAAGGAAGAATGGTTTGGAATGATTATCAAAGTAGAAGTGACATTATAATTTGGAAATTGATAGATATGAAATCTAGTAATAGTAAACTGGGAATCTGAGCTAACCTTGCCACTGAGAATAACCAAAAAATTGTGCATTAAAAAAAGTCTGCTGAAAGACATTGGTAAAGCATAATGACAGTAAATAATTACAAAGCTAAGATCGGGGAGAAGACAGAAATTCACATAGGTGAGCCAGATATTTTGGCTTATTTGGCTTATTTTTCCTCTAGTAGTCATTTTGCAATTCCAGAAAAAAAAAACACGCATAAAAGACTGAGCAGGAATTTTGAGAATGCATCATGTTTATGGGGACAATTGGAGTTCAGGACTCAACAAGGTTTGGGAGCTGGGTTAAACCTCTGTATGTGCGGTAGAGATTTCTGAGGCTGAACATTAAAAGTAAGGGTAAAGTGGGAATGTACTAACTCTCATAGGGATTACAGCCCATCATTGCACCATCTCAATTGCTGGAATACTGTTAAAGTTCTACATTGCTACTGTCCACAGAAGTCTGCCTGAAAAAAACTAAGGTAATTTCTGGAGAAAGATAGCATTAGCCTAGTTCACAAATTATTTCTACAGGTAATATTTTATAGACATCCTTCAGGACAAAATAAAAAATAACCAGACACACAAACAAACAAAATATCATAAAGTTAACAGTAGAAATACACAATAAAAACAGACACATATGCTCTAGATTTAGAGTAAATCAGATACAGATTTTAAAATAATGATGCTTTTAGCATTAAAAGAGGTAAAAGATGATTGTGAGAATTAAGACAGACAATTAGGAAACATGAAAAAGGAATTGGCAGATCAAAATCCTTGAAATTTTAGAATCTGTAACCACAAAAAGCCAAATTAAGACCTCACTGGATTAGACACAGTCAACACAATGAATAAAGGACTAGAAAAGACATCAGAATACACTAACCAACATAATTCAAAAGTGGAAAAATCAGAATAAAGGGTAAGAGTCCAAGATAAGTAAGAAGAATGAGACAGAAGCAACATTAGAGAATTTTTTAACACTAAAGAAAAATATGAGGTAATAAACTCAAGAAACCCCATGACAACTAGGCAGGATTAAAATAAATAAATTAAAGACACAAACAAACACAAAATAGAAGTACATCCTAATAAAACTGCTAAAACCTAAAGCCAAAGAGAAAAATCTAAAACAACTGGACTTCAATTAACTTTCCATTCTTTCAATGGAAGCCAGAGATAGCTTAGTATCTTCAAAATGCTGAAAAAATAACTATCACCCTGGAATTCTAAACCAAGAAAAATACATTTTAAGAAAGAATATGCAATAAGAATACTTTTAGAAAAGCAATAATTGAGGGAACTTATTAAAAATAAACCCAAACTAAAAAAATACAAAAGGTTATTTTTAAGCAGTAGAAAAATTCTTCCATATGGACATAAGGTGTTATGAAAATGTATGAAGAACAATGAAAAAGGAAAAGATGTGGGTCAATCTAAATAAATTTTGACTGTAGAAAATATATATTCACGGCTGGATACAAGATGGACGATGAGAAGCAGCTGCGGTTTGCGGCACTCATGGAGAGAAATGAAAAGGAGCAAGTGAATTCAACACCTTCAACTGAAATATCCACGTTCTCACATTGGGACTGACTAGACAACCCAACCCACAGAGATGGAAGAAAAGTGGGGGAAGGCGGGGCAATGGCCCACCAGGGAGTAGCATGGAACCAAAGGAAACCTCACCCCCAGCCAAAAGAATTGGCGAGTGATTTTGTGACCGCGCCCAGGAAACCACACTTTTCCCACGGACCTTTGCTACCAGTGGATCAGTAAATCCCCTCTTAAGCCCAGGCCATCAGGGCCTTGAGTCTGACACACAGAACTGTATGGAGTCTCAGCAGAGCAGCCATTCAGGCACACACAGAGACCCAGGAGTCTGACACACTCCGATCCTGGGATCCCCAGCAAGGCAGGAAATATATCTGTAAATATCCCTAGAAGGGAGCTGAGTCCAGGGAGCAGGCAGCATCGTTCTGCAGACCCCACTTCCATGGCACCTCACAAGTTAAAACCAACTGACTTGGAATCCCAGCCAGCCAACAGCACCAAGTCTGCTGGAGTCGGCCTGAGATGGATCCCAGTTCCTGGCGGGAGGGCCAGCCACCATCTCCACAGTTCAGTAGATTCAGCTGTTCCAGCCTGCCGGTTGTGGAGAATACAAATGGTCCGGACAAGGAAGGGTCCCCCACGACACAGCACAGTTGCCTTGCCAGATGGTGGCCAGACTGCTTCTTTAAGTGGGACCCCAATCCATTCCTCCTCACTGGGTGGTGGCTGTCTGCAGGGGCTTCAGCCACTCCAGCAAGGGCTCTATGGACAGAACTCTGATCTCTCCCTGGGATGGAGCTCCTGGTGGGGAGGGGCAGCTGCCATCCCTGTGGTTCAACAGACTTAGCCATTCCATCCCGCCAGTTGTGGAGAAAACAGACAATCCAAACAAGGAAGGGACCCCCACAACGCAGCATAGCTGCCTTGCCAGGTTGTGGCCAGACTGCTTCTATAGGCAGGAGCCAGATCCACTTTTCCTCACTGGCGGGTCCTCCCTGCAGGAGCTTCAGCCACTCCAGCCAGGGTTCTATGGATGGAGCTATGATTTCTTCCAGGGATGGAGTTACTGGAGGGAGGGTGGCTGCCATCTCCATGATTTAGTCAACTCAGTCGCTGTAGCCTGCCAGCTATGGAGAATACAAGTGGTTCAAAGAAGGAAGGGTCTCCCCACAATGTAGCACACGTGCTCTATCAAAAAGCAGCCAGACTGATTCTTTGGGCAGGTTCCTGATCTTGTTCCTCCTGACTAAATGAGACCTTCCAATGGTGATCTCCAGCCAGCTCCTAAAGGCATGTGCAGGCTGGCAAAAGTTCAGTACTCCCCTGGGATGGTACTTCCAGAGGAAGGAGCTGGCTGCCATATTTGCTGTTACGCAGCCTTCACTAGTGATACTTCTAGATACTGGGTAAAAAAAGGCAACTGATATCTGAAGTGGATCCCCAGCAAACTGCAGCAGCCCTAGGGTAGAGTGGCCTGACTGCTAAAAGAAAAACAGAAAACAGAAGACAACAACATCAATTTCAAAAGACCTCACAAAAACCTCATTTGAAAGTGGGCAACCTTAAAGACTGAATGTAAATAAACCCACAAAGACGAGAAAGAGTCAATGCAAAAATGCTGAAAACTCAAAGAGGCAGAGGGCCTCTTCTCCTCCAAATGACCACAACACCTCTCCAGCAATGGCACAGAACTGGGCTGAGGCTGAGATGGCTGAACAGACAGAAATAAGCTTCAGAAGGTGGTTAATAACAAATTTCACTGAGCTAAAGAAGCATGTTGTAACCCAATGCAAACAAGCGAAGACTAATGATGAAACTATACAGAAGCTGATAACCAGAATAGCCACTTTAGACAGGAACATAACCAACCTGAGGGAAAAATACAACACAAGAACTTCACCATGCATCACAAGTATCAATAGCAGAATAGACCATGCAGTGGAAACAATCTCAGAGCTTGAAGACTATCTTTCTGAAATAAGATAGGCAGACAAGAATAAAGAAAAAAACATGGAAAAAAAATGAACAAAAACTCCAAGAAACATGGGATTATGTACAGAGACCAAACCTACAACTGCCTGAGGTAACTGAAAGATACAAGGAGAATAGAGCCAAGTACGAAAATATATTTCAGGATGTCATCCAGGAGCATGTCTACAACCTAGCAAGACAGGCCAACATTCAAATTCGGAAAATCCAGAGAACCCCAGTAAGATGCTCCACAAGAAGATCAACCCCAAGACACATAATCTTCAGATTCTCCAAGGTTGAAATGAAAGAAAAAATCTTAATGCCACCGAGAGAGAAAGGCCAGGTCACCAACAAATAGAAAGCCATCAGACTAACAGTAGACCTCTCGGCAAAAACCCTACAAGCCAGAAGATTGAGGGCCAATATTTGACATTCTTAAAGAAAATAATTTTCAAGCCAAAATTTAATATCCAGCCAAAATAAGCTTCATAAGTGAAGGAGAAATAAAATCTTTTCCATAAAAGCAAATTCTAAGGGAATATGTCACCACCAGGTCTACCTTTCAAGGGCTCCTGAAGGGAGCACTAAATATGGAAAGAAAAAACCATTACCAGTAACTAAAAAAACACACTGAAATGCACACACCAGTGACACTGTGAAGTAACCACATACACAAGTCTCCAAAGTAACCACCTAGCATCATGATGACAGGATGAAATTCACACATAACAACACTAACCTTAAATATAAATGTGCCAAATACCCCAATTAAAAGACGTAGAATGCCAAGGTAGAAAAAGAGTAAAGACTCATCAGCATGCTGCCTTCAAGAGACCCATCTCAAGTGCAAAGGCACACATAGGCTCAATATAAAGGGATGAAGGGAAATTTACCAAGCAAATGGAAATCAGAAAAAAGCAGAAGTTGCAATCTTATGTTCTGACATAAGATTACGTTCTGACAATCTTATGTTCTGACAAAACATACTTTAAACCAACAAAAATCAAAAAAGGCAAAAAAGGGCATTACATAATGGTACAGAGTTCAACAAGAAGAGCTAACTATCCTTAATATATATGCACCCAATACAAAAGCACCTGGATTCATAAAGCAAGTTCTTAGAGACCTACAAGGAGACTTAGACTCCCACATAATAATAGTGGGAGACTTTAACACCACTGTCAATATTGACAGATCATCAAGACAGAAAATTAACAAAGATATTCAGGATCTGAACTCAGCTCTGGATCAAGAAGACTTGGTAGATATCTACAGAACCCTCCACCCAAATTCAACAGAATATACATTCTTCTCATTGCCACATGGCACTTACTCTAAAATTGATCACATAATCAGAAGTAAAACACTCCTCAGCAAATGCAAAAGAACTGAAATCATAGTAGCCTTCAGACCATGGAACAGTCAAAAGAGAACTCAAGATTAAGTAATTCACTCCAAACACAAAACTACATGGAAATTGAACAAACTGCTACTGAATGACTCTTGGGTAAATAATGAAATTATGAAGAAATCAAGAAGTTCTTTGAAACTAATGAGAATAAAGAGACAACGTGCCAGAATCTCTGGGAAGCAGCTAAAGCAGTGTTAAGAGTGAAATTTATAGCACTAATTGCCCACACTGAAAAGCTAGAAATATCTCAAGTTAACAAACTAACATCTCAACTAAAAGAACTAAGAGCAACCAAGAGCAAACTAAACTAAAAGAGAACCAAGAGCAAACAAACCCCAAAGCTATCAGAACACAAGAAATAACCAAAATCAGAGCTGAATTGAAGGAGATAGATACACAAAAAAACCCTTCAAAAAATCAATGAATCCAGGAGCTATTCTTTTGAAAAAATTAATAAAATAAATAGAACACTAGCTAGCCTAATAAAGAAGAAAAGAGAGAAGAAGCAAATAAACACAATCAGAAATGATAAGGGAGATATCCCCACTGACCCTACAGAAAAACAACCAACCATCAGAGAATACTATAAATAACTCTATGCATATAAACTAGAAAATCTAGAAGAAACGAATACACTCCCAGACACATACACCCACCAAGGAATAAATCAGAAAGACATCAAATCCCTGAATAGACCACTCACAAGTTCTGAGGCAGGCCTACTAACCAAAAAAAGCCCAGTATCAGACAGATTCATGGCTGAATTCTACTGGAGGTACAAAGATGAGCTGGTACCATTTCTACTGAAACTATTCACAA
Source organism: Homo sapiens (assembly GCF_000001405.40). Lineage (NCBI taxonomy): Eukaryota > Metazoa > Chordata > Mammalia > Primates > Hominidae > Homo > Homo sapiens. The sequence continues at coordinate 51,190,771 of NC_000002.12, read as the reverse complement.
AAAAATTAAAGAGGAGGGACTCCTTCCTAACTCATTCTATGAAGCCAGCATTATCCTGATACCAAAACCCGGCAGAGATACAACAACAACAACAACAACAACAACTCCAATATCCTTGATGAAGATCAATGAAAAAATTCTCGACAAAATACTGGCAAATCAAATCCTGCAGCACATCAAAAAGCTTATCCACCACGATCAAGTTGGCTTCATCCCTGGGATGCAAGGTTGGTTGAACCTACCCAAATCAATAAATGATGTTCATCACGTGAACAGAACTAAAAATAAAAACCACATGACTATCTCCATAGATGCAGAAAAGCCCTTTGATAAAATTCAACATTGTTTCATGTTAAAAATCTCTCAATAAACTAGGTATTGAAAGAACACATCTCAAAATAATACGAGCCATGTATGACACACCACGGTCAATATTATACAGAATGGGCAAAAACTGGAGGCATTCTCATTGAAAACCAGCACAAAACAAGGATCCCCTCTTCTTATTACTCCTATTCAACATAACACTGGAAGTTCTGGCCAGGCCGCTCAGGCAAGAGAAAGAAATAAAGGATATTCAAATAGGAAGAGAAGAAGTCAAATATCTTTGTTTGCAGATGACGTGATCCTATATCTAGAAAAACCCCACTGTCTCAGGCCAAAAGCTTCTTACACTTAAAGCTTCCTAAGTTGATAAACAACTTCAGCAAAGGCTCAGGATACAAAATCAATGTGTGAAAATTGCTAGCATTTCTATACACCAACAACAGGCAACCAGACAGCCAAATCATGAATGAGCTTCGATTTACAGTAGCTACAGAAAGAATAAAATACCTAGGAATACAGTTTACAAGGTAAGTGAAGGACCACTTCAAGGAGAACTACAAACCACTGCTCAAAGAAATGAGAGAGGATACAAACAAATGGAGAAACAATCCATGCTCATGGATAGTAAGAATCACAGATTCAATGCTATTCCCATTAAACTACCAATGACATTCTTCACAGAATTAGAAAAAACTAGTTTAAAATTCATATGGAACCAAAAGACAGACCATAAAGCCAAGACAATCCTAAGCAAAAAGAACAAAGCTGGAGGCATCACACTACCTGTTTTTAACAATGCTACAGCAACCAAAACAGGATGGTACTGGTACAAGAAGAGACACATGGACAGACCAATGGCACAGACTGGAGAACACAGGAATAAGACCAAACAGCCACAACCACCTGATCTTCAACAAACTTGACAAAAACAAGCAATGGAAAAAGGACTCTATTTAATAAATGGTTCTAGGAGTGCTGGCTAGTCATATGCATAAAATTGAAACTGGATCTTTTTTTACACCATATACAAAAATTAACTCCAGATGGATTAAAGACTTACGTGTGAAACTCAAAACTATGAAAACCCTAGAAGAAATTCTAGGCAATATCATTCAGGACATAGGCATGAGCAAAGATTTCATGAAAAAAACACCAAAAGCAATTACAACAAAAGCAAAAATTGACAAATGGGATCTACTTAAACTAAAGAGTTCCTGCACAGCAAAATAAACTATCTCAGAGTAAACAGACAACCAACAGAATGGGAGAAAATTTTGCAATTTATCTATCTGACAAAGGTCTAATATCTAGAGTCTACAAATAACTTAAACAAATTTACAAGAAAAAAATAAAACCCATTAAAAAGCAGGCAAAGGACATGAACAGATACTTCTCAAAAAACGATATACATGTGGCCAACAAACATATGAAAAAAAGCTCAACATCACTGACCATTAGCAAAATGGAAATCAAAACTACAATGAGATACCATCTCACACCACTCAGAGTGGCTACTATTAAAAAGTCAAAAAACAATAGATGCTGGGAAGGTTGAAGAGAAAAAGGAATGCTTTTATACCATTGATGAGAGTGTAAATTAGTTCAACCATTGTTAAAGACAGTGTGGCAATTCCTCAAAGACCTTGAGGCAGAAATAACATTTGACCCAGCAATCCCATTATTGGTTATACACCTAAAGGAATATAAATCATTCTATTATAAGGATACATGCACACATATGTTCATTGCAGCACTATTCACAATAGCAAAGACATGCAATCAACCTAAAGGACCATCAGTGATAGACTGAATAAAGAAAATGTGGTACATATACACCACGGAGTACTGTTCAGCCATAAAAAGGAACAAGATCATGTCCTTTACAGGGACGTGGATGGAGCTGGGAGCCATTATCCTCAGCAAACTAACGCAGGAACAGAAAAACAAATACTGCATGCCTGAATGATAAGAACACATGGACACATGGTAGAGAACACACACTGGGGCCTGTCAGGGGAGCAGGGGAGAGCATCAGGGAAAAATAGCTAACGGATGCTGGTCTTAATACCTACGTGATGGGATGACCTGTGCAGCAAACCACTATGGCACATGTTTACCTATGTAACAAACCTGCACATCCTGCACATATACTCCTGAACTTAAAACTTAATATAAAAGTTGAAAGAATATATATGTGAATATATAAATATATTTGTATAATTAATATCTATTATATATTATTATATAATTATATATAGCTAATATATTATATATTATATATAATTAATATATATTAAGTGAATATATATTCACTTAAAATACATGACAACACTAGCATATAAGGCAAGTGGATTTCATGTATTCTAAGGTCTTGGCACTATCTTTAGAAAAATATCAGTCTTAGACTTTGATATGTCAAAGAGCCATGTTGTAATTTTTATAGGAAATGGAGAGGGTGGAAGGGATGAGATACCTTTTTTCCTCATTAAAAGAATCACATCACGTTCAGCACTCTGCAAAAAAAGACAGATTAAAAAGAGAAAAGCAGAACAGATTTGCTCAACCAAATTTTACATGACATGGGAGCCTTGAAAAATGAAGACTCGAAGACATAGAAAAAACTACTCATTTTTATGCTTAGCTTCCATGATGAATGGATAACCAGGTAGAAATATGATTGGATAAAAAGGCTGTTATCTAATGTTAATAGACCGAATGGAGGAACCCTAGTAAGCCTTGTCTGTTCACATTATTTTTTTGCCTCTCTGTGTAGCACTATTTTTTCTTCTCCCAGGCAGAGGGTAAGACCCCTCTGAAATGAGAGTCTTACGACCTACTAACAGACAAGGGTAGGTCAGAGAACTTCTTTATGGCTGGCTCCTAGAGAGAAAATCACTGAAAGGTTAGAGTCACATTTTAACTTTCATGGCTAGCTTTGTAGGAAGGGGGTTCTGGTTCCTATGAACTACCTTGGGGAAAGATGGATTCTAGTTTCTACGGCTTGCCTCAGGGGAGAAAGAAGAGTGAGAGCTAGGAGGGCAGGAGAAGGTCAGAGAAAGACTTTGTTTCAGAGGCTTGTTCTGAGGCCTTTACTTTGGAATATCATTTTATGGGCCCCAGCATAACTAATAAAATTATGAATATAATCTTTACACTAACAGAAGGAAATGGAATAATAAAAAATTAATAAAAATCAATAAAAACAACAAAAAAGCTACAAAGAGAAGAAACATAAATATAGAAGTATGGTTTATTAAAATCCAAATGCATCAATATTTACATTAAATATGAATGAATTAAATAAAATATTTAAAAGACAAAGATTTTCAAAGTTAACAGAAATCAAAACTGCACTCTATAGTAATTACAAGGTCATATTAATATATATGGAAATGTTAAAAGTAAAAAGATAAAAAATATTTATCATAAGAACAATAATAGCAAAAAAGCTGATAAAGCCATATTAACATAAGAGAAATTAGACTGTAAGACAAAAAGCATTTTAATGATAAAAATTGGTATTTTGTAAAAATAAAAATGTTCAAGTAACCAAAATTCATATAAGCACTAAATTTTCAGAATTTAAAATACAGCCTCAAAAACTAAAGTGAAATTTATTAGAACTTCAAGGAGAAATGCACATATTTATGTCATTAGTGGAGAGCTTTCTATACCTTCTGGAGCTAGTGATATAAAAGCAGACAAAAGAATCAATAAGGAGGCCAGGCACAGTGGCTCACTCCTGTAATCCCAGCACTTTGGGAGGCCAAGGCAGGTGGATCACGAGGTCAGGAGGTCGAGACCATCCTGGCTAACAAGGTGAAACCCCGTCTCTACTAAAAATACAAAAAATTAGCCAGGCGTGGTGGCGGGCACCTGTAGTCTCAGCTACTCGGGAGGCTGAGGCAGGAGAATGGCGTGAACCTGGGAGGCGGAGGTTGCAGTGAGCCAAGATCGCACCACTGCACTCCAGCCTGGGCCAACAGAGCGAGACTCCATCTCAAAAAAAAAAAAAAAAAATCAATAAAGATAATAGGATGGGAAATCTTAGTAATTAGGTTTTCTATAACAGTTCTTGATAGAAAACTATACCTATTAGCTGCAGAATACACATTCTTCTCAAGTACGCACAGAACATTTTAAAATTTGGCCTAGTGATAAAGTGATCACGGTGTAATTAAACTAGAAACTTCTAAACAAAAAGAAAAGTGGAGACTCTTATACTTTAAAAAATTAGGACATCTACTTTTTAATAATTTATTAGTGCAAGACAAAATTATGCGAAAAATTAGGAAATATTTACTTAATAAAAACGATAATATTATATATCAAAACTTGTGACATGCAGTTAAAGCTGTACTTAGATGGAGACTTTTTAATCTACATGCATATGTTAGAAAATAAGATAAACTGAAATTCAATGATCTATTTACAGGATTTAAGAAAATAACATCAAATTATAATTAAAGAATGAAGGAAATAATAGAAGAGCAGAAAATTCATACAACAGAATAAAATCTTAAAATAGAGAGGATCAACAAATGTAAAAGTTGATTATTTGATAAGATTACTAAAACTGTTAAATTTGGGTAAGGATGATAAAGACTGATCAAAAGTAAAGGAAATATTATTAAAAAACTTTCTGCAAATACTGCATATTCAACAATTTTTATGAAACACATAAAATTCTAGAAAGACTGAAGGTACCAATACTGACAATAGGAAGAAATAGAAAAATAAGATAGATTTAAGCTATTAAATAAATTGAATTCATAATATAAAACCTCCAGAACAAAACCCTAGCCCTATCTGGCTTCAGCAGTAAAATCTACTAAACACTTAAAATGGAAATATGACCAATATTACCCATACTCTTCTAAAGCCTAGAAAACTTTCTAACCTATCTTAAGCTGTTGATATAACCGTGGTAATAAACAGGTGAAGGACATTTAAAAAAATAGATTAATTTTGGAAACAAACATATAATTAAAAGCCAGAAGTAGAAAATAAAAGGTTAAATACATTTTGAAATACACACACACACACACACACACACACACACACACACACACACATACATTTATATTTTTAAAGGATTATCCATCATGAACAAATTTGGTATATTTTAGAATGCAAATTGGTTTAACATTTGGAAATCAATGAATGTAATGTATTAAAAAGGAAAAAAATCTATGATGATCTCAATAAATTCATATAAAACAGATAATATTCAAAACCTATTTATAGTTAAACATACAAATTTAGAAAATGAAGAATGTAGAACGTTTTTATTTAACTTTTAAGTTCAGATACACACATGCAGGGTTTGTTATATGGTAAACTTGTGTGATGAGGATTTGCTATACAGATTATTTCATCACCCAGGTTTCAAGACCAGTACCCATTAATTATTTTTCCTGATCCTCTCCCTTCTCCTTCTCTTCATCTCTGATGGGAGGAAAGTAGAACTTTCTAAAACCAACAAATAGCATCTAAATAATACATAACTGATAGCAAAGTGTTAGGTTGAAAGTTTTTAGATGACAATAATTTATAGGTGATTACCATGCTTATTATTTCTACTCAACATTATACTGGGGGTCTTAGCTAGAACAATAAGACAAAAAATTTAAGCACTGAAAAGGAAGAAATGAAACTGTCATATTTGCATATGACATGCTTACGTACATGGAAGATGCAAACTAATCTACAAAACAATTGTTAGACTACATGATGTAGCAAGTTTGCTAAATACATAGTCAATATAGAAATTTAATTATATTTCATATAAATTTATTTATATGAAAATAAAACATATTTAGATAATAATATAAAAGGATACCATTTACTGTAGCATCAAAATATCAACTAAGAATAAATTGTTTTTTAAAAAATATTTAAGACCTTTATATAGAAAGCTATAAAACATTAATTAGATAAAAATTTAAGAGGACTCTATGAAATGGTATGTTTATGATTTGGAAGACTAGATATTATAAAGTTATAATTTCTCTCCAAACTAACCTACATATTTAATTACATCCCAATACAAAACTCAAGAGATTTTATTATTTATTTATATATTTATTTACTTATGTTTATTCTCGTGAAACCTGACAATCTGATTCAGAAATTTACATATGAAAGAAAGACCAGTAATAACCAAGATATCAGTAAACTTGAGTGGGCATACTCAAAAGAGAGCATCAAAAGGGCCAATAAATATGTGAAAAATTTCTCAACTTCGTTACTCATAAGGACTTGCAAATTAAAATCCCAGTTACTACTATGTATGACCACATCAGGGTGGCTAAAATTAAGAATAAGACTGACACCACCAAGTTTTGGCAAAAAAGTAAATTAGAGATCTCTCATACTCCCTTGGCGGGAGTGTAGATTTTCACAAACCTACAAATCAGTTTGACATTATCTACTAAAGTTGAAGATTTGCATATAATATGACTCAGTGATTTCAATCCTCAGTATATACATAACACAAATGTATGTATGCATGTATCTTATTTATATAGCAAAAGTAACAAACTAAATGTCCACAACAGAAGAATGGATAATTAAATTGGGATATGTTGCTACACTATAAGAATAAAGCATTGAAAATGACTTTATATAGCCACATGAAATAACAAAGATAACCTATCATTGGGAAACAGAAATAAGGTGTGCATACTCTAAAGAAAAGCAGGAAAGTGACCATAATGGTAAGATAGTTAGTGCTTTCTTGAAAGCAAGACAGAGTACAGTGATTGGGAGGGATCTGAGGGGTCTTCTGTGGGTGCTGACGATTTTCTACTTTTTGACTTGAATAATGATGTTTTTTTCTTTTTTCACTGTTTTATTGCATATATTTAACATATACCACATAAGTGTTTTGATATACTTATCCTGTGTATGCTATACCTAATGTGTAGTCCTTTATTCCTCACCTCCCTCTCACCCTTTCCCCTGAGTACCCAAGGTCCATTGTATCTTCTTATACCTTTGCATCCTCATAACTTAGCTCCCACAAATATACGATGTTTGGTTTTCCATTACTGAGTTACTTCACTTAGAATAATGGTCTCCAATTCCATCTAGGTTGGTGCAAATGCCATTATTTTGTTCCTTTTTATAACCGAGTAGTATTCCATGGTATATATATAACACATTTTCATTATCCATTTATTCATTGACAGGCATTTGGGCTGGGTCCATATTTTTGCAATTGTGAATTGTGCTGCTATAAACATGCATGTTCAAGTATCTTTTTTGTATAATCACTTTTTTTCCTCTGTTTAGATACTCAGTAGTGGAACTGCTGGATCAAGTGGTAGATCTACTTTAGTTCTGTAAGGAATCTCCACATTGTTTTCCATAGTGGTTGCACTAGTTTACATTTCCACCAGCAGTGCAAAAGCATTCCTCTTTCAACACATCCACACCAACATCTATTATTATTTTTATTTTTTTATTAAGGCCATTCTTGCAGGAGTGAGGTGGCATCACATGGTAGTTTTGATTTGCATTTCCCTGATAATTAGTGATGTTGAGCATTTTTTCATATGTTTGTTGGCCATTTGCATATCCTCTTGTGAGAATTGCATCTGTTCATATCCTTAGCTAACTTTTTGATGGGATTGTTTGTTTTTATCTTGATGATTTGTTTGATTTCCCCTAGATTCTGGATATTAGTCCTTTGTCAGAGGCATAGTTTGCAAATATTTTCTCCCACTCTGTGGGTTGTCTGTTAACTCTGCTGATTATTTCTTTTGTTGTGCAGAAGCTTTTTAGTTTAATTAAGTCCCATCTATTTATCCTTGTTTTTGTTTCATTTGCTTTTGGGTTCTTAGTAATAAATTCTTTGCCTAAGCCAATGTCTACAAGGGTTTTTCCAATATTATTTTCTAGAATTTTTATGATTTAAGATCTTACACTTAAGTCTTTCCTTCATTTTCAGTTGATTTTTATATAAGGTGAGAGATGAGGATACAGTTTCACTATCCTACATGTGGCTTGCCAATTATCCCAGCAGCATTTGTTGAACAGGGTGTACTTTCCCCACTTTATGTTTTTGTTTGCTGTGTCAAAAATCAGTTGGCTGTAAGTATTTGGGTTTATCTCTGGGTTCACTATTTTGTTTCATTTGCTTATGTGCCTATTTTTATACCAATACCATGCTGTTTTGGTGACTATAGCCTTACACTGTAGTTTAAAGTTGGGTAATGTGATGCCTCCAGATTTGTTATTTTTGCTTAGTCTTGTTTTAGCAATGCAGGCTCTTTTTTGGCTCCATATAAACTTTAGGATTGTTTCTCTAGTTCTGTGATGAATGATGGTGGTATTTTGATGGGAATTACATTGAATTTGTAGATTGCTTTCGGCCGTATGGTCATTTTCACAATATTGATTCTACCCATCCATGAGCATGAGACGTGTTTCCATTGGATTGTGTTGTCTATGATTTCTATCAGCAGTGTTTTGTTGTTTTCATTGTAGAGTTCTTTCACCTCCTTGGCTAGGTTTATTCCTAAGGATTTTTTGTTTGTTTGTTTTGTTTGTTTTTTCACAGCTTTGTAAAAGGGTTTGAGTTTTTAATTTTATACTCAGCTTGGTGGTTATTGGTGCATAGCAGTGCTATTGATTTGTGTGCATTAATTTTATATCCTGAAACTTTACTGAATACATATATCAGTTCTAAGCACTTCTCGCATGAGTCTTTAGGGTTTTCTACATGTATGATCATATCATCAGTGATCAGCAACAGTTTGACTTCCTCTTTACTGATTTGGATGCCCTTTATTTCTTTCTTTTCTCTGATTGCTCTGGCAAGGACTTCTAGTACCATGTTGAATAGAAGTGAGGAAAGTTGGTATCCTTGACTTGTTCCAGTTCTCAGGGGGAATGCTTTCAACTTCTCCCCATTCATTATAATGTTGGCTGTGGGTTTGCCATAGATGGCTTTTATTACTTTAAGTTATGTCCCTTCTATGCTGATTTTGCTGAGAGTTTTAATCATAAAGGGACGCTGGATTTTGTCAAATGCTTTTTCTGCATCTATTGAAATGATCATGTGATTTTTATTTTTAATTTTGTTTACATGGTGTATCACATTTATTGACTTGCATATGTTAAATCATCCCTGCATCCCTTCTATGAAGCCCATTTGGTTATGGTGGATTATCATTATTATTTTTGATAAGCTGTTGGATTCGGTTAGCTAGACTTTTGTTGAGGATTTTTGCATCTATGTTCATCAGGGATATTGGTCTGCAGTTTTTTTTTTTATTTCTTTCCTGGTTTTGGTATTAGGGTGATGCTGGCTTCATAGGGTGAGTTAGAGAGGATTTCCTCTTTAGCTTTTGGAATAGTGTCAATAGCACTGGTACCAATTCTTCTTTCAATGTCTGAAATAATTCAGCTGGATTTTTTGTTGGCAATTTTTTTTATTACCATTTCGATCTCAGTGCTTACTATTGGTTAGTTCAGGGTTTCGATTTCTTCCTGGTTTAATCTAGGAGGGTTGTATAATTTATCCATCTCCTCTAGGTTTTCTAGTTTGTGTGCATAAAGTGTTCATAGTGGCCTTGAATGATATTTTGTATTTCTGTGATATCAGTTGTAATATCTCCTATTTTGATTCTCATTGAGCTTATTTGGATCTTCCCTCTTCTTTTCTTGGTTAATATTGCTAATGGTGTATCGACTTTGTTTATCTTTTCAAAAGAATCAGCTTTTTGTTACATTAATCTTTTGTATTGTTTTTTGCTTGTTTGTTTCAATTTCCTTTAGTTATGTTCTGATCTTTTTATTTATTTTACTCTGCTGGATTTGGGTTTGGTTTGTTCTTGTTTCTCTATTTCCTTGAGGTCTTAGCTTAGATTGCCTATTTGTGCTCTTTCAGACTTTTTGACATAGAAATTTAATACTATGAACTTTCCTTTTAACACTGCTTTTGCTGTATTCCACAGCTTTAGAAAGGTGTGTCACTATTATCATTCAATTCAAAGAACTTTTTAATTTCCATCAGATTTCATTGTTGACCCAATGATTGTTCAAGGGAAGGTTATTTGCATGGTTTGAAGCATTCCTTTTGGAGTTGATTTCAAGTTTTATTCCACTGTGGTCTAAGAAAGTGCATGATATAATTTTGATTTTCTTAAAATTATTGAGACAGTAGCAGACAGGATATTCTGCCATTATTGGGTAGGATGTTCTGTAAATATCTCTTAAGTCCATTTGTTCTTGGGTATAGTTTAAGCCCATTGTTTTTGTTGACTTTCTGTCTTCATAACCTGTCTTGTGCTGTCAGTGGAGCACTGATGTCCTCCATTAATATTGCGTTGCCATCTATCTCATTTCTTAGGTCTAGTAGTAATTGCTTTTATAAATTGGAGAACTCCAGTGTTAGGTGCATATATATTTAGGATTGTGATGTATTCCTTTTGGACTAATCCTTTTATCATAATATAATGTCCCTCTTTGTCTTTTTTAACTGTTGCTTTAAAGTCTGTTTTGTCTGATATAAGAATAGCTACTCCTGCTTGTTTTTGGTTTCAATTACCATAAAATACATTTTTCCACCCTTTTACCTTAAGTTTATGTGAGTCCTTATACATTAGATGAGTCTCTGGAAGACAGCAGAAACTTGGTTGATGAACTCATATCCATTGTGCCATTTTTTTTTTTTTTGGTCTTTTAAGTGGAGCATTTAGGCTATACATACTCAATCTTAGTATTCAGATGTGAGGTACTATTCTATTCATTGTGCTAGTTGTTGCCTGAATACCTTTTTTTTAAAAAAATTGTGTTATTGTTTTACAGGTCCTGTAAGGTTTATACTATAAGGAACTTCTATTTTGGTATATTTTGAGAATTTGTTTCAAGATTTTGAGCTCCTTTTAGCAATTCTTGTAGTGCTGACTTGGGAGTGCTGAATTCTCTCAGCACTGGTTTTTCTGAAAAAGACTGTATTGGAGGAACCTGCCCCCAGTATTTCAACGTAGGTTCTTTCTATTTTCCCTAAATGTTGGCCGATCTGAGAAATAAAGAGAAAGAGTACAAAGAGAGGAATTTTACAGCTGGGCCGCCGGGGATGACATCACATATTGGTAGGTCCGTGATGCCCACCAGGGCTTCAAAACCAGCAGGTTTTTATTAAGGACTTCAAAAGGGGAGGGGTTATACACACAGGGAGTAGGTCACAACGATCACATGTTTCAAAGGGCAAAAAGGAGAACAAAGATCACATGATTCTGAGGCCAATAAAGATCACAAGGCAAAGGGCAAAGCAAAGATCACAAGGCAAAGGGCAAAATAAAAAACTCCTGATAAGGGTCTATGTTCAGCTGTGCACATATTGTCTTGATAAACATCTTAAACAACAGAAAACAGGGTTCGAGAGGAGAGAACGGATCTGACCTCAAATTTACCAGGGAGTGGTTTTTTTCCTCAACCTAATAAGCCTGAGGGTACTGCAGGAGAACAGGGCGTGTTTCAGTCCTTATTTCAACCACATAAGACAGACACTCCCAGAGTGGCCGTTTATAGACCTCCCCCCAGGAAAGCAATTCTTTTCCTAGGGTCTTAATATTCCTTGCTAAGAAAAGAATTTAGCGATATCTCTCCTACTTGCACGTCCATTTATAGGCTCTCTGCAAGAAGAAAAATATGGCTCTTTTTGCCCGACCATGCAGACAGTCAGACCTTAAGGTTGTTTTCCCTTGTTCCCTAAAAATTGCTGTTATTCTATTCTTTTTCAAGGTGCACTGATTTCATATTGTTCAAACACACGTTTTACAATCAATTTGTACAGTTAACACAATCATCACAGTGATCCTGAGGTGATGTACATCCTCAGTTTACGAAGATAACAGGATTAAGAGATTAAAGTAAAACAGGCATAAGAAATTATACGAGTATTATTAGGGAAGTGATAAATGTCCATTAAATCTTCACAATTTATGTTCCTCTGCCATGGCTCCAGCCTGTCCTTCCCTTCGGGGTCCCTGACTTCCCACAAGACTGTATCTTTCCTTCATTTATGAAGCTTAGTTTCGCTGGATACGAAATTTTTGACTGATAGTTGTTTTGTTCAAGGAGGCTGAAGATAGGGCTCCAATCCCTTCTAGCTTGTAGGGTTCCTGCTAAGAATCTGCTGTTAATTTGATAGGTTTTCCTTTATAGGTAACCTGATGATTTTACCTTACAGCTCTTAAGATTCTTTCCTTTGACTTGACTTTAGATAACCTGATGATTATATGCCTAGGCAATGATCTTTTTTGCCATGAATTTCCTGGGCGTTCTTTGAGCTTCTTGTATTTGGATGTCTTGGTCTCCAGCAAGGCCAGGAAAATTTTCCTTGATTACTCCCTCAAATATATTTTCCAAACTTGTAGATTTGTCTTCTTCCTCGAGAATGCCAATTACTCCTATGTTTGGTTATTTAACATAATGCCAAACCTCCTGGAGGCTTTGTTCATTTTTGTTGTTGTTGTTGTTGTTCTTTTTACTTTGTCCTTGCTGGACTGGGTTAACTCAAAAGCCTCGCCTTCGAGCTCTGCAGTTCTTTCTTCTACTTGTTCAATTTTATTGCTAAGACTTTCCAATGCATTTTTCATTTCTCTAAACATATCCCTCCTATATAGTTGTGATTTTTTTTATCTGTGCTATTTCACTGAAGATTTTTCCTTTCATATTCTGCATCACGTTTTTGATTTCTCTAAATGGGACTTCACTTTTCTCTGGTGCCTTCTTGATATGCTTAATAACCAACCTTCTGAATTATTTTTCTGGCAATTCAGAGATATTTTCTCCTGGTTTGGATCCATTGCTGGTGATCTTTTGGGGGTGTTAAAGAACCTTATTTTGTCATATTACAGGAATTGTTTTTCTGGTTCCTTCTTATTTTGGTAGACTATGTCAAAGGGAAGATCTAGGGCTCCAGGATTGTTGATAAGATTCTTTTGTCCCATATGGTGCTTCCTTGATGTGGTGCTCTCCCACTTTCCCTAGCAATGGGACTTCCTGAGAGCCAAACTGCAGGGATTGTTATTTCTCCTCTGAGTCTAGCCACCTAGCAGAGTTACCTGGCTTTGGGCTCATACTGGGGGGTTTCTGCAGAGTCCTGTGTTGTGATCCATCTTCAAGTCTCTCAGTTGTGGATATCAGCACCTGCTCTGGTGGAGGTAGCAGGGGAGTGAAGTGGACTCTGTGAGGGTCCTTGGTTGTAGTTTTGTTTAGTGTGCTAGTTTTGCATCAGTTGTCCTCTTGCTAGGAGGAGGCAGCACTTTCAAGACAGCAGCAGCTGTCAGCTAGTATCAGGAGGATACAAGATTGCACTAAGGTCACCTGGATAAGTATTTGGGTTTCTCAGGTGGTGGGTAGTGCTACCGAGCTCCCAAGAGATTGTCTTTTGTCTTCGGCTAAGAGGTCAGGTAGAGAAAGATCATCAGGTTGGGGCAGGGTTAGGCGGGGCTTGCTGTGGCTACTGTGGGGCATGGGGTCTGAGCTCAGACTCTCCTTTGGCAGGGCTTGCTGTGGCCAATGTGGGGTTGGGGGTGTTGTTCTCAGGCCAATGGAGTTATGTTCCCAGTGGGATTATGGCTGCCTCTGCAGCTTCATACAGGTCGCCAAGGAAGTTGGGGAAAGCCCCCAGTGACAGGCCTCACCCAGCTCCCACGTAGCCTGAAAGGCCAGTCGCACTCCCACTGTGTCCCCCAAACAGCACTGAGTTTATTTCCAGGCAGTTGTTGAGCATGGCTGAGAACTTATCCCAGGCTACAAGCCTCCCTGCTGAGAAAGCAAGCAGGGTTTTCAGGTTTCAGCCTCCCTGCCTACCATGGCTTCTGTGGCTTCTATGCTGGTATCTGCACTCCTGGTTTACCCCCTCACCTAGGATCTGCGCAGGCAACTTAGTAACTTTGTTACAAAGTTCAACTGGAATTTTCTTTCTTCCTGTGGTCCTTCCCCCGTTCCACTGGCAGCCCACCCCAAAGATTGCTGTGAGACAAAGTCAGAAATGACTTCCCTAGGGCTAAGAGTGCCCACAAGGCTTCTCCTGCTGCTTCGTCTACCCCTGTATTTTGCTCAGATCTCTAAATTCATCTCAGCTTCAGGTAAGGTCAAGTCCTTCTCCTGAGATCTGGACCTTCAGTTTCCCCAATGAACATGTGTGTTCAGGGGTAGACATTTCCCCCTCACACTTTGGGCATTCAGTTTTTCAGCTGCCTTGCGGAGCCTGCAGAGACAGGCTGCTTCCTTCAAAGGGTCTGTGGATTCTCTCAGCTTTCCTGATATGTTCCTGCAGTATTTCTTGGAGCAAGAGTTCACAATATGAGTCTCCACATGGTGTCCTGTTCATCTGCCAGTTAGTCCTGCCTCCTATCTGCAGTTTTCTTTGCATTGTCACTATTACTCATTTCTTAGTGTTCATGAGAGGATAAATTTGGATAGTATGACCCTACCTAGTATATTATAAGAATCCAATAAATATTAGGTATTATTTCATAGAGTAGTTGTTACAAATCCTTGGGTCTGTGTAGTCATTTGCTGAAAACTGACCAATTCTTTAATCATGGACAAGTCATTTTTACTGTCTGGATTTTACTGTTTTTCTTTTTATTTGACAGAGACAAGGGGAATAAATAAGGTTATTTCTGATAAGCTCTAAAAGGTTTAGATCCTGATATGGTTCCTGTACCTTCTTCTTTTTATACTAACTTTAGTCCACATATTTATATTCATTTCTTTACTTTTGCATAATGTAAGCTCGCACAAGGTTTAGTTACCTCAGGTATTTTCTCAGTTTTCTGTGTTATTCAAATCAGTGTAATACAGACTCCACAACAGATCTGACATCTAATAGGCCCTTAATAAATTATTATTGAATTATTTTTCAAGGCTGACATGCCTAGGTAATAGAGACTATGTTATTTTAATTTAGTTTTAGTGTAGTGGTATACACACACACACACACACATATATATATTTATATATATATATAAATGAATAATAGTGACAATGCATTTAAAGTTTTACTTCGTTTCATAGAAAGAATACCTATAAATTCGATCACATAAGGGATTATTAGATATCATGTAATACTTTATATTTCATAATGTATTTTATTGCCAGAGGTAGAAACCACATAGACAGAATAGCAATGTATTTCAGGTTATAGAAACAGCCTTCATTTTACTTAGTTGAGCCCTTCCTCTACCTTATCCTCTACTCCAGTAGTCCTCAACCTTTGGGTACCAAGGACTAATTTTATAGGAGACAATTTTTCCACAGACTGGTGGGGAAGGGATGGATGGTTTCAGGATAATTCAAGTGCATTGCATCTATTGTGCACTTTATTTCTATTATTATTACATTGTAATATATAATGAAATAATCATATGACTCACCATAATGTAGAATCAGTGGGAGCCCTGAGCTTATTTTCTTGCAACTAGAGAGTCCCATCTGGAGGTGATGGGACACAGTGACTGATCATTGGGCATTAGATTCTCATAAGGGGCATTCACCCTAGATCCCTTGCATGTGCAGTTCACAATAGGGTTCGTGCTCCTATTAGAATCCAATGCTATCACTCATCTCACAGGGGGCAGAGCTCAGGCGGTAATGAGAGTGATGGGGAGCAGCTGTAAATACAGATGAAGCTTCACTAGCTTGCCTGCCGCTCACCTCCTTCCGTGTGGCCTGGTTCCTAACTAAGACTAGTTAGGAACTAGTCCATAGACCAGTACCAGGGTTGGGGGCCTCTGGTCTAATCCCCTGAAGTGAAGGGAAGATGAGCACTCAAGTCCTGGCCAGAACAGGGAAGACCCAGATAGAATTGCCACACTACGTAGCAACTTCTTTTCACTGGGCTTGGTCCATTGCCAACTTTATCCTCCTTCTCCTTTGAACAGTGATCCTCTAAGAAAGCAGGAATTTCCTTGATACCTCTCCCTTGCAAAATGACATTGTAAAAGCAAGGTGTTTCTTAAAATATTTGTCAATCAGTACATCATTCTTTGTGCCAAGAACTATATTAGTTACTACAACACATAAATAATGAATTAAAATAATTTACCATTTAAAATCACAAGACAAATATTTTATAAGATAAAACTAATTTGATGATGATCTTAATGTAGGCATTTTGATGTTCATAGATCCACATTTAGATACAGAAGAACCCACAAACTGACTAAATAGATATTTAAATAGATATTTAAAAGGGGATAAAGACCTGCAATCATTTAAAGGGAAAAATTTATCAAATAAAAAAAAACAAGGTTGTACAGTAGACTTTTAAAGTATTAAATGCAAGAGGATAGTAAATGATTTACAGAGTTTGAGGTGGGGAGAAGGTTTATCCTAAAATTCTATATAAATTTAATTTTCATTGATGAAAGAGGAAAATATTTTCACACACGCCAAGACTAACTGGTATTTAATGGTCCTCCTAGGGAAAATAATTATTCAAAAATATAAACAAACCTTTTTATAAGTTTGAATAAGAGAAAGCAAAATGTAAAAGAATAATCATAAAACTGATAAAATTGAATAAATTTCAAAAACTGATATTAACATATCTTGATATCCAACGAAAATGAAATAAACCTAATCTTAAAAATGTGTAAAACCCATAAAGTCATGAATAATATCAATCTAAATCTTAAGAAGTTATTTAAACAAAACAGAGAAGGGATACAACGGAAAGGGGAAATAAAAATCTTGATATTGGATCTCAAGTTGGTTTACTCAATGTATATTTATCCTTTAGGTTAAAAGAAGAAACAAAATTAAATTATCTATCGAAAAGCTTTCATATATACACATATATGTATATACACACACATATACATTTGTTTTAAGTAAAATAACACAAAAATAATATACACAAATGCCAGATCAGTAAAGACACGAAAAAGCGAGTTTTGAAATCTATAGCAAACAATGGGGAAAATATATGTAACAGCACAGAACCATATAGAACAGTGAAAATAAGCAAACTAGAGAGAAGAATATCCAAATAAAAGTGAGGTTATATATAAAATGTAAGATTTGTTTCAATCTAAAAATCACATCTAAAATACAAGTACCACACTAGGCATACAATTACATAGAAATTATCAATACTAGAAAAGCCAAAAGCAAACTATAAACTAGAAGCAATAGTAATATTAATAATGTTATATCTTGCTATGAATATTACATAAAAACATGTGTATATATATACATGTTTTTGAATGATTTCTTAGATAATAATCAGATAATAATCATAGATAATACTTTGTTCACAAAGAATATGCAATATTTTCCATTGCTAGTTGCTGTATATAAAATTTGTTCATATATATGCCATTAATGAAATTTTTTTCCAATTATAGAAACGAAAAATGTGCAGCGAAACTTTTCTAAATATTCAAAATAAACTTCAAAGTAATAGCAAAAGGATAAACAAAATACGGTCACTTACAAACTGTTCCCCAAACTACTCACCTATATAGCTGAGGGAACTCATTTATTGTACATCTGCTATGTGTCAAGAATACATTTAAAACAGAGCAAAATCATAATCAAAAATATAGATACCAGACTAGTCATAAAAGAATGACCATTTTATATATATACACACACACATATATATATACACACATATATATATACACATATATACACACACATATACATATATGTGTGTTGCAAAGAAGCCAAGGAAGTACAGGAAGTTCATAGCTTTTGCTGCTTTTACTATGAAATCAAGGTAATTAAAATAAGTGACTAAATATTCAACTCATTAAGCTAGATGTAAGAGTTATACTTACTGGGAACACAGGGGAATGGCATTAATGGTAATTAATGGAGAAGTAGACAGTTAGATATTCAAGAGGATCCTCTTTTATTGAGTAAAAGCTGTGAACCATATTTATTTACTCAAACTAGAGTCAATACCACTAAAATAAAAAAAAAACAAACTTTTCCATTGATACTAACATTTAAATTATTCTGAAACCTTCCAGTATATGTCATAAAATAGATTTTGACATCTGAAATTTTATTTTAATTTTTGCATATGATCTTAGTAATATTGCTGTGAAATCAAAGACATATAATTCTAAAACTCTAAACATAAACATATAATTCAGTAAAGTGACAGTACAAATAACTATATATATTACAAACCTACTGTTTTAGTTTATAACAGCTAAAACCTGTAAGCATACATACATATACACACACACATATATATTCACAGAGAGATGAGAGAGCCCAGTCAAAACAGCTAATAAAAAACCAAAAACTAGAAATAAAGTTTATAAAATTATATTAAGAAAGATATAAACCTCCACTTACAAACATAAAAAAAGACTTCAATAAATGAGAAAGGTATCAAGCTATTTAGTAGAAAGACATAATAACATAAAGATGTCAGTTTTCCAATGATTCCACTCTCTACCTGCAAACATCTAACCAAGACTCTAAGAAGTGGAAGTTTAGTCAGATTTTTCTTCTTGTTGGATAAAATGCCTGCCTGATCCAAATGTTAAAGACAGATTCAATATTTAACCAGTAATGTGTTAGAGATGAAGAAAGTGAACAGAATGAGCAGTCCAGAGAGAGGAGAAGATTTCAGCAAGGTTCAAAGAAGACCTTGGTGTCTCCTGGAAATCAATGCAACTCAGTATTGCTGAGCACAAAGACAGAGACCAGGAAGCAAGAAACGGGGCTTGTTTACTGCAAAAGAGCACTGGATGGTGACAAAGAAATGGGTTTGGAGATCCAATGACATGGTGGTACTTAGACATCTGTGCTTATTAACTAATGGTGCTGGCCACACAACCAAAAGAGCCTGTGTAACAAAGGAAAGAGGGCTCGTAAGAACCATCAGCATCTAAGAACAGCCTAACCAATCTGTGAGTATCTACTTTGCAGGCCCAGCCTCTGAAGAGGTACCTGAATCTAGTCAGAATAGGCTTTCCTTCCACAAGCGCTGCACCTTGTGTTATTTTCTACCTATTATTCTTTCAGGATTAAAACTGCCTTTTAGATTTCAACTAAGATATTTAATATTTTTTTAATGCCCATATTTTTTCCATATTTTGCTTCTTTTTATTTCTGATCACACAGCAAAGCTTTTGGTAAATAATCTCTGAAGAATGTGACCTAAACCTTCAGTGTATGCTAAGGTCAGTCCTTGGTTTCTTTTTTCCACGTAATGTACGACTCCATTTTAGGACACAAATGAAGCAAAAGCCAGCAGTTAAATGGGAATGAAGGCTGTCTGAACATCTCTTCTGATGTTCCAGGAACTTTGGGACTTATTTTCTTTTGAAGAAAAAAATACATCTTTTTAGATAAGACCATTCAATTGTTGTAATAAAAAAATGCATACCTCTAATAATCCCTTCTTATACTGTTCAGATTTGAGTTTTGCTTCTAAATTTCTCTGTGACCCAGAGTACTTTCATTTTATTATATTTATATCTGAAACACAATTAAATGAGCTGATTATAGCAATAAATAATACAAATTTAGATCACTAGTTAAAAGATGATATCTGAAATCCTTTGTCACTATAAAAATATAAAACTTTATCCAAATAGAGCTCATTCTTTGAGAAAAGATAGCTGGTATGAATTGAAAAACACACTGAGTCAGGCACTATGCTAGGCACTTTAATCCTCAAAATAGAAATGCAAAGCCTTGCTTTGAACCTCCCTTTTACAGAAGAGAAAATACAAGCTATGGGAAGTTAAACAGCTACTAAGTGATGGATCTGTAATTCAAATCCAGAGTTGTCTGAGTACACAATCCTTGTGGCTTCTATTCTGATACTCTCATTCAAATCCTAACTTCTTGATGCCTTCTTTGACTATGCTGGCCTCTATCAGTCTCTTTTATCTGAAATCCTACAAGCTTATAGTTTATGTAGTTCAATTCACTGGAGTATGTATTCTTCTCTCATGGCTTAATTGTCTCATTTCAATCACAGGCTGAATGCCTATAGACAGTAGACTAGGTACAAGTGATTGTCATTCAGGAAGGGCACAGACTGGTGCAGTGTTGCTAATTCTGGTCTGCAGAGCACTTGCATGAGAATCAACCAACAATCTACATTTTGAGCAGGATGAGTTTGTTGCATCTAAATCTAAAAATCACTAGCCTAGTTAGTGAAGCCTATCTCCTCCATCCAGATAGAAATTCTTTATAAGGCAGACACTGTGTCACAATTCCTTGGGTTTGCATTATACCAAAGGAAATCCTAGACATGAAACAGATATTTAGTATTGATCACGAGCAAACTGCCAGACACTGTTCTCAATATCTCAGTCATAGGAAATGTAGTTTCTTGATGCAGCTACTTTTTAACTTTATTCCTTCACATGACTAGCAAGGTGAATCATACTCAGTTTAGTTCAAAAAATATTTACCCATCTACTCTGGCCTTGGCAGCACTGCAAAAGCTTCTTGGAAGAGATGCCCAAGCTAACTCTTGAAGAATGAATTTAAAAAGCCGAGCACATAAAAGTGAAAGGATTTTCCAGGTAGGGCAATTAATATGATAGGAATGGTGTGAGATAATACACAATGAATAGCTATCAGAAATTCAACAGTAGTAGAATGTGAACTATAAGGCCCTTTTGGAGGAGGCAGGGCTTGTGCATAAATCTGGAGAGAGTTTTAGAGGGTATGATTGTCGCATGTAACTGTTTATGTGACTACAGTTTCCCTTTTGTGTGTCTTCCTTCCCCTCAGAGAAAATTCCTCTTTTCTGCTTGCATTAGTCACTGTAGGCTACCATAACAAACAATGACATTTAAGTCGTGTAACATGTGAAAAGTTCACTTCTTGCTCACATCACAGTTCGGAGTGGGTTAATGTGGAGGAGGGAAAGGTAGATGGATTGTGTTCCACAGAACCATCAGGGTACTCTGGTTTCTTCCATCTTGTGGCTCCTTATCCCTCTAGATTCCCAGAGTCTTTTCCATTAAGCTTGCAGATGAAGCAGTAGAGTCATAATTATTGCAGAAGAATGTTATGGGCCAGGCCACTTCTGTTCACATTACTTTGGGTCATAATTCAGTCACATGGATAAACCTACTACCAGAGAAGACAGAAAATATAATCTTAGTGCCCAGTGAAAAGGGAAAAACATAGGTTTTGATGAGCTTGATAGCCACTTTACAAATATCAAAGGCCTTCACAATCCTTGCTTAGCCACAAAGGTTGCCTTTAGAGGAGCATCTTATATATTCATTGATAGTGAAAGATAAAAGACACCCAAAAAAGTCTTGTGGAATTCTGGTTTCTGGACTGACAGGTAGAGCAAGAAAGTCATTATTCCCCATTCTCCCTGCAAGAAAAAAGCTGAAC
Organism: Homo sapiens; assembly: GCF_000001405.40. Lineage (NCBI taxonomy): Eukaryota > Metazoa > Chordata > Mammalia > Primates > Hominidae > Homo > Homo sapiens. The sequence continues at coordinate 51,169,078 of NC_000002.12, read as the reverse complement.
AAACACAAAATGCATAATTCTTCTTAGATCCATGAGAGAATTTAAGTCACAGGGCAAGCCCCCTTCCTGAAAATTGGATAGCCAGGTGACTACAGAGACTCATAGCTTATTGGAGCAGAAGCCAAGAGCATTACCCCACTGCTGGAGTCAAACCTGACAGGAAAACTAAAACTGATTAACAAACTGCTGGAGGCTCAGTATAGATGAGCTTGAGTGTTAAGAATTCTGGCGTCTCATTCTTAGGGAGGCCAACACATTTTTAGCAGTTTTACCTTCATGAGTTCCCCATCAGTTTCTCAGGTGAAGATCAGAGAAAACCCTCCTCATATTTCCTACCAAAGGAGGAATTTACTGCTTTGAAATACCACTAGAGCATTCTATTCTCCTTTAAAAAAAGCCTGCCCTCAGAGATCAAGATCATCCTGGCCAACATGGTGAAACCCCCTCTCTACTTAAAAAAATACAAAAATTAGCTGGGTGTGGTGGCATGTGCCTGTAGTCCCAGCAACTCAGGAGGTTGAAGCAGGAGAATCCCCTGAACCCGGGAGGCAGAGGTTGCAGTGAGCCAAGATCAAGATCGTGCCACTTCACTCAACCGGTGACAGAGCGAGACTCCGTCTCGAAAAAAAAAAAAAAAAAAAAAAAAGGCCTGTCCCCAAGGGCACTATTTTATTAGAGCCTAAACAACTTGTACCAGATGAAACTGAATGGGTGGAAGGCAGATACCCAACTCCAGGCCCATTTAGTCTTCCTATCACCTGTTTATCTCCATTCCTGATTTGGCATGTCTTGACTACCAACAAAAATTTAAGAAGTATGCTAAAAGGCAAAAAATAGTCAGAAGAGACAAAACAAGCATTGGACCCAAACTCTGATATGACATTATCAGACTGGAAATTTAAAACAATTATGATTAATATACTAAGGGTCATAATGGAAAAAAGGAAACATGCAAGAACAGAGAGGAGTATAAGCAGAAAGATGGAAACCCTAGTGAACTTGCATTATAAAGATATTTCAAACATCTGTAGCCTTAAAATCAAGAAATGGGTCACTAATTATGGCATCTTATGTACTGAGATTGTCTTTGAATAATTTTTTTATATTTATTGATATCCAGAACCACCTACTTCGCTTACTCTTGGGGCAGTTTCACACAGAAGAGCATCACATATTTCCCAGAGAAGGATATCATCTATTTTCAGCTGCTAATAGTAATGACAATGCAAAAAATATGTTATAGTATAAAGTCATCATTCCTAGATCCATTAGGGAAATGAGGCATTTGATCTTGGGAATTGAGGTGCAAGTGATCATGGCTAAGCTAATGTGTCAGATTCAAGTCTTATATGGGCAACAACCATATCTGTTTTGATCACAACTGAAAGTCCTAGAAAACGTCATACGGTACTTTTTGTTTTATCCACTGTTTCATATTTTTTGCCAATCATCTCTTTAGGTTATTCCACAAGCCACCCAAAAATGCTTTAGTTTTCACATGACACAAACAGAATCTTTTGGCTATATATTAATTTTGACTCAAACAAGGAATTAACCTATTTCTCATTTCCTGATCCAATGAGCATAGAGTCCCCATTGTGTCCAAAGCATCAGAGAGGAATACCAGCAACAACAAGAAAAAAAGCTTTGGCCCTCTATTCAAGGAGATCATAGTTCAGAAATGTCTTGTCAATCTTTGCTGAGAAATCATTCAAAGGATCCTATCATACAAGCTTTAAACCGGTGATAATGAAAAACTACACTTAATATGAGAAAAACCAATCACCCTTGAGCATCTTACCTCAAGATGCTGTTATCACATCTGTGGTAAGTTGTGTACTACATAGTGACCAAATTAGAAAGAAATTAGAGGATATGGGAAAAAAGTAGGGGACTCATAAATACACATCTTTAGAAGTCTAACTACCCAGAAATTATCTAACAATTTTTCTTTCTTTAAATGCAATCTTTAACCCTCGGCTGTTAAACGACCCTTCTCAAAGAAAGCCCCCAATTGATAAAAATTCTTCTTGAATATAATTAGGGACTGCCAAGTGTTTGCCATATGTGAATGTCCAAAGCCATGTGTCACACTCAGAAGCAATAATATTGCTATATCCATCTAAAATAGTTTCTTTTTTTTTTTGCACTATGCCAGCTATGTGTGATTAACCATACAAAACAAATTGCTGTCTATTTTGCTCAATGCAATTTTGTATTTATTGCATTTAGCTATAATCCCTCATCTAATTGATAATGATAACACCTATTGAGCAAAAAATATGCCTGGCAGTCTTCTAAGCATTTTACATAAATTCATCTCATGCAATTTTTACGATGACTCTATGAGGTAGGATTTATTAGAGATATTAGGAAAATGGCAGAGAGGAGACAGGATTAACATGCAGCTCCCACTTGGACAAACAGCATGAGGTATGGAGACTCACATCATGAATTTTTGCTCCAATAACTGTAGAAACATGCCAAGTAAACTGAAAGGATTCACAGACCCTTTGAAAGAAGTGGCTTGCCGCTGCAAACTCCATGAGACAGCTGAAAAACCGTGAGTTCTCAAAGTGTGAGAAGGGGGAAAAGTCTGCCTCCAAACACATATCACCACTGGGGAACCTGAAATTCCAGAACATGGGAGAAGGACTTAACCTCACCCAGAGCTGAAACAGATTTAGGGAGCTGAGTGAAATATAAAAGTAGGAGAAACAGTGGAAAGATCCCTGTAGGCACTTTCAGTCCCCAGTTCAGGCCCAGGGAAGTCATCCTTGGCTTTATCTCACAGGGGTCCTGGGGGAAGGCAGCCAGCAGAATTGGGGAGGAGCCACAGGGTGAAGGAAACTTCTACCTGAATTTTGCAATGATTTCGACTGAACAAGAATTTTCCTAGCAGCATCTGGGGAAGGGCGACAAACAGGAAGTGCAGATATGAACACAGAAGCCACAGCTGATGAGCTGATGATGTGGACAGGCAGGGAGGAGCAAGGCCTGAGAGCCCTGCTTACTTTCTCAGTGGGGAGGCGTGTAGCCCGGGGAAAGATGTGAGCCCTGCACACTGGCTGCCTGGATATAAACTCAGCGCTGTTGTTGGGGCACAGTGGGAGTGAGATTGGCCTTGCAGGCTGTGTGGGAGCTGGGTGAGTCCTGACACTGCTGGCTTTCCCCCACTTCTCTAGCAACCTGTATGATGCAAGAAGAGGCAGCTATAATCCCCCTTAAAACATAACCCCAGTGGCCTGAGAACCACTCCCCCAGCCCCCACACTGGTCACAGCATGCTCCACCCAAGGAATGCCTGTGCTCAGACCCTCCTAACACTGCCCCCACCTGATAGTTTCTCTCTACCTAACCTGGTAGCTGAAGACAAAAGACATGAACTCTAGGGAGCTCTAGGACCCTGCCCATAGCATGAGAAACCTGAAGACTTTTCCAGGCTAATATAGGGCAAGGTTATATCCCCCTTCTACAACCACAGCTGGTGCTGTAACTCAAGTGGTTACAGCAACTCATAACAGAACAACCCGGCTCCAAAGAAGGAGAAAACAATAGCTAATTCCATCTCCCGCAACATCCTAGCTAACTAGAGATTCTGAGTCTGTCCACATGACTACTTCACTGCTAACATAACTAGCATTCAAGAAAACCAGCACAGTAAACAAAACTACAACCAAGGGCCCCCACAGAGCCCACTTTACTCCCCTGCCACCTCCACTAGAGAGGTGCTGGTATCCACAGCTGGGAGACCTGAAGATGGATCACATCACAGGACTCTTTGCACGCATTCCCCAGCACCAGCCCTGAGCCTGGTAGCCATACTGGGTGGCTAGACCCAGAAGAGCAATAACAGTCACTGCAGTCTGGCTCTCAGGAAGCTCCATTCTTAGGGGTAGGGGGAGAGCACTACATCAAGGGATCACCCTGTGGGACAAAAGAATCTGAACAGCCGCCCTTGAGTTCCAGATTTTTCCAATGAAACAATCTACCCAAAAGACAAGGAACCAGAAAAGTAGTATCTCTAATAAATCCTACCTTATAGATTCATCCTAAAGATGCATGAGATAAATTTATGTAAAATGCTTAGAAGAGTGCCAGGCATAATGTTTTCACTCAATAAGTGTTATCATTATCAATTAGATGATGAATTTTAGCTAAATGCAATAAATACAAAATTGCATTGAGCAAAACTGACAGCAATTTGTTTTATATGGTTAATCACATATAGCTGGCATAGTGCAAAAAGAAAGAAAACCTATTTTAAGTGAATATAGCAATATTCTTGCTTCTGAGTTTGACACATGGCCTTGGAATTTCACATTGTTAGATAATTTCTAGGCAGTTAGACTTCTAAAGATGTATATTTATGAGTCCCCTACATTTCCCCCATATCCTCTAATTTCTTCGTAATTTGGTCACTGTGTAGTACACAACTTACCACAGATGTGATAGTGGCTCAAAGGTGATTGGTTTTTCTTATATTAAATCACAGAGAGTTTTGAGGAGAAATCATTAGGCATCAAGTTTTCCGTCCTGTTTGACTCCTGCTGACTTATTTTTTTTTTCATAATCTTAAAAAGGTCTTTAAATGGTACCCATTTATCTTCAGTTAATAATGTAGAAAAGACTGCCTTGACAGGGTTAAATTTCCATGGCCTTCTCTTCTTTAGGGATACACTAAAGGGCTGGTGTCATTGCTTAAAAAAGTATCTTGAACTTGATGGAGTTTATGTTGAGAAATAAAGTTTACATTTCTTATTTTTATCTTTTAATTCCATTTTTCCACAAACTTTTGAAACTCCCTTATCTTTTTCTGAATCTCTATCTCCTTTGGTTTTATTTCTAAGAAATTCATTAGACCCAATAATCCCAAGAATTTTGACACATATGGCTAAAACTATTGACAGAATTAACAAACTACGTGGATTATCAATTTCTCTGCCTTTTTACCAACTGGGAAACATCAGTTTTTTAACTCTCTGTAAATTAAAAATATTGTACTTACATAGGTAACATACGTATGGAAAAATACAAATAAAAGATATAGATAAAATATCCAGTATCTTTACAGCCAGAAATAGTCTCATGGGTATAACAAATTGCATATTACTTTCTATCATAAGTGATCATTCAACACAATAAACATCTTTCCATGTAAAACACAAATCAAAACATCTTCCCATGTAAAAAACAATCACTTACGAGTACATAGTAATTTTTTCATGGTTGTCATAATTTAATATTTGTGAGACATTTAATTTTAAATGTATGCTACAATATACAAGTGTAAAACTGAAATTCTTGTGTATATGTTTATATACACATTTAGACTAAATTCAAATCGCAGAATTATTAAATGAAAAATTATGGGACTCTTGATGTCATTTGATAAATTCTGCTAAAGTGTCTTTCAAAAATGTTGCAGCAATATATGATATCTTATTTTCCCCATAACCGCCAATCTCATAAAGTAGTATTTCATTAATTACATAACTTTCATTATTTTGATTAGTCATAATTTTCAATAAATTTCTCTCATTTAACAAGGGCAATTTTTATTATACATAGAAGATGGGTCCAAAGGATCTGAATTTTTAATGATTCCCTCAAATATTTCCTATGTATACTGAAGTATAGAAATTCTTCTTCAGGGAGGCTTTAAGGTTTAGCCCTCGTGTAGATTTTTATTTTTTATTTTTATACCAAATGCTCCCTCAACCAACCTATCAGTGACTTTCAATGTAAACCTTTACATTAGTAATTACATTTAAGCCTTGGATTTCACATTTGTATTTAGAACATCCAATACGATTACTTCCCAAATAACATTTGTTTTTGTTGCTATTGTTTATCATCCACTTCAGTTGTGTTTCCTGTTATATTCCCAGGAATTGACGACATCCTGCCAGCAATTATATATAAAGGCTTGAAATTAAGCAAACCATGTAAAATCTGTATGGGTTAGGAAAAGGCAACTTGAAGTGTGCCCTATTTTAAATAGTACATTTAGTTAATGGCCTGAATTATACCAAAAAAGTACTGGGGAGTGACATAGACTGATATCCTAGAGATATATTACATATGAAATGAGTCTGGGGCTTTATACAAGTTAGGGTAATTCCTTTTTGACAAGTTCGTGTTATCTAGAAGTAAATTTTAAAAGTACAGTTTCTGAATAACTGTGAAGTCAGCATCAGGGGTCAGCACACGAAAAGAAATGAGAATCAGCAAAAGTATAAGTCTACACTGCTAAGTCAGGTGCAGGTGGCAGTCCATAATCCACTATGGAACCTGTAGTGACCAGAGGAAAATTTAATTATAACCTGTTTTGGTCTGTCTGCTGCTGCCATAACATGATACAGTTTGGGTAGTTTATTTAAAAAAAAAAAAAAGAAATTTATTTGGTTCATGATTCTGGAAGCTGTGAAATCCAAGAAAATGTTGCCAGCATTTCGTTAGGGTGACTTCATGGCAAGGGAGGAAGTAACTATGCAAGACAGAGAGGTACTAGGATCTGGACTTGCTTCGTAACAACCCACTCTCATGGTATTTAACCCACTCCTGCAATAATTTAGCACTGTATAAATATCCCAAGAGCTGATTAAAGAGAGGTGTAAACTTCAGTTTTTAAGACAGAGCAAGGTATTTTGACACTGTAACCTGTGAGAAATGTAATGAGGGCTTTCATTTGACCCAAGTCCATGGGGAGAAAAGAGTATTAGAATCAAAGAGCTCTTGTGGCTCTTTGTGAAGTGAGTTAGTCATTTCAAGCCAATTCCTCATGGACAGATGTCCAGACAACTGTTCCTGTGGTTACTGTTAACAAACAGGTTTTTGGAAAGTGAGTGAAATGTATATGCAATTCATAGTTATTGTATTAGCACATACATGCACAGAATCATGAGAATAAACTTAATAATGCAGATTAGCATCTTGAGACTATAGCAGGTGATCCTTGGTCTCAGTGTATTCAGAACAATGGAAACAACTACGGAATTTTAAAGCTATTGGGAAGCCAAAGAAAGCTTTGAATCTATTCCCATTTTCCATTACCAATGTGTTTTAGATCTCCAAGAAAGGGCATACTTTTTCAAGGAAAAAAAAATAGATTTCATTGACAATGTGTTCCATAATTTTTAAAACTGCGTTAAGAAAATATTGTTTATTTAAGATATTTTCTCTATAGTATAGGTTTTTCCCCTTTTTTTCTGCTTGTTATAATCAGTTATAAATATATGTGTCCTATTATTAACCTTTTTCCCCCAAAATTCTACTTCAGATATTTTTCCAGTTATAATTTATAATTACTCAGATTTATAAACAAAGTTCAGTTGATTATAATGCTATGCCAAAAAATAATCAACCACTTGCTTTAGTGCTATTTTTGCGTTAGGCTACTGTGCTATTAAGACAATTAATATGCATGTCCAAATAATTGTATAGACATGATTTGTTTTATGGGAATTAGCGATTAGATTTATAGGCTTTAAATATTGATGAGAAAATTATTTAGAACATTTATCTTAATTGGTGGTGCTGGTTGAAAGGTATATGGAAACCTTCCATATTATTTTTGCCAATTTTCTTTAAGCCTAAAATTATTTCAAATACAAAATTTAACGTAATGTGGGAATCTATCTTAATAATTACTGATAGATTTGTTAAATATTTAATTGTAAATAATTTTGCAGCTGATAATCTTAAAGAGGTAGTGATGGTTGATAAAAGTTATGATTGTGATGATGACTAATGAGTTGTATGCCTAGCACTAAGCAATACTTTTTTAATGCACAATCTCATTTATATACATTATACTCCTTCTTGTTTATAACAACTGTCTCATTGAAAGATACCAGGAAGTTGATGGCAGACTTGGATCCTTTAGTAATCAATAAAATATTTCAATGCAAGTCTAAATATTTATAAAATTTTGAGGAATTTAATGGATTCTTCTATTAAGCTAAACTACCGCTGGATAAATGTGAATGCTTAATTTGGCTTAATTAATAAAGTACTAGCTAAAGAAATGGGTCTATCATGCATATTAAAATTATGTGAAGGGTAGCAAGCATTTACATTATTCAGTGGGTGAAAAAAAGTAACACACTGAATGATGAAAGTTAAAAAATGTCATAAACTGTAGAGTGATTTCAGTTACCACCGAATAATGCCATTTTTATCAAGGGAAGAGATTATAAATATTATAGACATGTGAGTCTGTAGTGTTGGATGGAGTTAGGCTGTTTAAAACAGAGTAATATAAATAAGCTTTAGTACTGCTACTGCCTGCTTGGTTTCAAGCATAAAAACACTCTCTAAACCAGTGACTTTCAAACTTCCCCTACCCTCAGAACTCTTCCTTCAAAAGGAAGATTTGGAGTGTCTCTAGTTAATCCAGCATAATATTGAGATTTGGAGTGTCTCTGGTTGATCCAGCATAATTCTAAGATTTGGAGTGGAGATCTAGAGTGTCTCTGGTTGATCCAGTATAATTTTGTGATTTGGAGTGGAGGTCTGGAGGGTCTCTGGTTGATCCAGCATAATTCTAAGATTTGGAGTGAAGGTCTGGAGTGTCGCTTTTTGATCTAGCATACTATTCTAGAGCTCTGTGTCTCTATTCTCCTCTCTTCTCTCAGGAGTACTTGAGTGAGAGCATAGTTCGGGTACAGTTTGGTTGCCACTACTTAAACAGTTGAGATGTAAAATTCCATTTTATACTTGGAGAAGAAGAGAGAACAAAGGTGAGTTTGTGTGTTTTTTCTAAGGTGGAGTCTTAGTGATTTTCCCTTGGTATCAGTGAAGAATCTTTCAGTCGCAAAAAACATAAAGCTCAACTAAAAATAATTTAAGCAAATAGAGAATGCATTTTCTCATGTAGCTAATAGGTCTCAGTATACAGCTGGCTCTAAAGCTTAGGCAGACATTGTAATTGCATCCCTAGCACTTGATTTTCTCCATCTCTCTGCTCTGCCTTTGGCTGTGCATCTCCATCCTCAGGTGCCACAGAATCTCCTACCCACCCACTTTGGTCACAAAGATTACTACAGTGTTTCTCAGCTTCAGGTCCATGCATAATAACAAGAGTATCATCCTAAAGATTTCTGATAGAAGATTTGTTCAGTCTTATGTTACCTATTTAAGTCACAAACTCAATTCATTGATTGATTGATGTATTGACTGACTTACATGTAGGTCACAAGCTCTATTTCTGACCCCGAGAAGAGCCCTTCATTCAGCAAGGGAGCTGAGTGTGAGGTTAAGTGTGGTCCCCAGAGCTAACCTAGATAAAGTTAACAGAAAAGTAGAGGAATACGAGAAGCCAAAAAATAACAAGTGCTCACTACGTCTCCTAAAATTGATAGAGTTTATTGATTAGCTAATTTTACTATAAAGGTGTTCCGAGTTTCTACTATGCTAGTTCTTTGTCAGTTGAAAAAATGCATAAGGCAGTTTCTACATGCTGCCTACCTCTTAGCAGAGCAAACTGTATGATACAACCACATAAAAGATCTATAAATTACCCTGTATGTGTGTGTATAGTCAATAATTCACTGTGTGTTTTTAATAGAATATATGCCTTCCCTAAATATTTGAAGCTAAAGAAAAAATCCTCACCACCAACCCCTATTTCCATATATTCCAGTGTTATAGACAGAATGCAGCAAATAACTTCAGATTTTTCAAAACACCCCCTGTGGTCTGTTAATCAGGTTCAGTAAGAAATAAAGGAAGAAAAAGTTGTACATTCCATGTGTACAATTCCATTAGATTAGGCGTAAATTCTAACGAAGTACCTGCTGCCAGCTGAGCTGAAAGAAACCTCTGGAAAATTACATGAATTTTTTTCTTGCTTAAATATTCAAATGTAAAAAGTGCATGGTGATAAATAACTTTTGTGTAAATAAAAACATAAATCATAAGATGTAAAGGCACTGAACAATTATATTCTAAGGAAAATAAATTATACCTGCTTATAAATCAAGGTAATGTGAAACATAGATTATATGATAGTTTGATAGAAAATTAAATGTGAACTTCAATTATGCTATATTAAAAAGTCAGTGCTATTTTAAAAACAAATGAATATGTAATAGTTCTCTTCAGAATGCCATCTAACATCGTTATTAGACTCAATTTGACTGTGTACAAAAAATTAACAAGAAGAGAATGTATTAAAAAAGTATAATAATAAAAGCAATGAAATAATTATCATAAGATTTATACACTTTAGCATGCAAAAATTTTTTAAGTTTCGGTCACAATATACCTAAGAAACAATAAAGGAAAACAGAGAATTATATGGTCTTATAAGCAATAAACAAGCCTAAATGGGAATCCCTCTTAGGTTTCTTTATGTATAAAACCATTTGCAAATAGACATGTAAAATGATTAAATGATTAGACATGAAAAAATGTCTATTTGCAAAGGATTTTATAGACTCTTCTTAGTGGGAGCGAAATGCTTAAACAGGAATCCTTCAAACAGTCTATGAAAAACAAATTGGAATAGCAATAAAAGAAATCATAGAAAATAACAAAAAAAGAACAAGGATGCATATATAAATAGGATACCCTGTTGAGTTTTCTCTTGCCAAATAGGCTGGAACAGGGTATAAAATGTGATGCATTACCATGGCATGCTGCCAACTCACAGGGTGCCTAGAGGAGAGAGGCATTGTTGCACTGATAGAGACATGCCATGCTCAGGTAATACATAAATGAGAACAAATATTTGGCACAGAGCATTGGAGACAGAATAACCTTCTTAGGTTGGTGCAACAAAATACATGTTTTTAAGGTTTTGAAATATGATATCTGAACTTTGCATAGTTACAATATTATTGACAGTTCTCTACAGATGGCACAGCACATCCAACCTGGTAGGGGGTGGATATAGATTCTTCCAAGCACTGGTTGCATAAAGGGATGATCTACACATGTCTTCACCTGCCCTCTGCATACTTCATGGCACCCTCCAATCTGTTGACTGCTAGGGCAAAGGTCTTAGTATCCACACACACTTATCCTTGATCCCCACTTTGGTCTACTTTACACAATCCAGGGCCTCACAGCTTCTGATCTCTCTCCTTCCAACCTCTCTTTCATTTCCCACTTTTGGCTCTACATATTCATAGGCATAACTCTCAGAATTTTACCCTTCCTATGCCCAGGAACCCTGACTTGACAGACGTCTCAGATGAGGCATTGACATCTTGAGCCTCTGCTATGAGGAAACTGCCATTGCAACCTTCATCTGTTTGGTCTAAAAACACTGTGGCACAGAGCGGACAAAGATTGACAGGATCAACAAACCCAATTCTTCAAAGAGGGAAACCAATTCTTCAGTACCATCTAAGAACTTCTCCAAATTCCCAGAAGGAGGTAGGGGAAGGGAATTAACTAAGTACCCTATCACAATGACTAGGGATAGGAAAAGATGGTGGGAAGAAAGAACCCAGGGATAAGGAGTAGTGTCTTGTGGAATGGCAGGACTTTGAAAGCATACAGACATTTTTTACTCAAGGCAGAAAGGACTGTCAAAACCAAAACAGTGGGTAGGGCAAGGAACTTCTAGAAAACTAAAATCCAAAAAGCTGAGCCACAGGTCCAGAAGGTTGGCCAATGCAAGAAGCTAATACAACCTAAACGTAACTCAAGGTGCCTGGTGGCATTATTCTTACATACGGTTATATTCATTCATAAAAACATAGACCAGTAGCTAAAAGTAATTAACAAGGCATCTGGGTTTTTACCTAGTATCTCTAAACAGACAGTTAGAGGATATCCAGTTCATACTTAACAGTGACACTTTTCAAAATTGCCTTTACTCTCACCCTAAATTATTTTACATCTCTCTAGTAGTCTGAAAGACTTTATTCAAGCCTAATCCTAACTATATCATCTCCTGCTGCTTCACCCAGCAAAGGTTTTCTATTTCTTTCCTCTTGCCTTTATGAATTTTTTATTTTGCCACTTGACAGCCTTTTCTATGTCTATTCCTTTAGTTTCAGCTTTGTTTACTATACATAGTCTTGACAAACAGTAGCTCTCCTTGAAAAGTAAGCAATATTATTTTTATTATTAGTATTGTTGTTAATCTCCTTCCCACTATATTTCCTCTGTCTCCCTCAATTTATTCTATTCTATGTCATAAAAACACCCAAACTAGGCATGAATAGGCAATACTCCTTTAGAGCACAGTGGAGGGTTAGAAGCTAAGTATGCAGACCAAATTATTTTAGGTACTAGCGGTAGGGAGAGAAGAGGTTCCTCCACTTAATCTGCCATTCTGCTATTATAAAAAGTTCATGGAGTCTAAAACTTAGTACCAGGGGAACAATCACAAGCCAAAGAAGAAAATAAACACACAAGGAAGCGCCCACCGAGACAGGCTGATAGTTCAGATAATTTGTTTTAAGAGCCAATTTGTGTTTGAGGAGGGGAGGCAATCCATTCCAAAGGGTCAGAAAGAGAGACTAGATTTACCACCTGAACAACCTTGCAAAGCAAAATATCCTGAAGCAAATCCCCCAAACCACCAACACTATGAAACATTATGGGGGAAAGGGGTTTCGTGGTCAATTTTGAGAAACATTATGTTCATTTCTTGGTACAATGAGAAACATTATGTTCCTCTCTCAAGGCATAATGCATTTTGAATGCTCTTAGAATATGCTGAAATAAGAAAATCTGCTCATTGGGTCAAGATCCTATTGTCTCGTAGTGTATTTTTCTGTCAAACACACTGAATTGGGTTGATTTTCTAACGGCAAATAAGTGCATATGCACAGAGATACCTGACTCACTTGAACAACGTATGCTGACATCTTAGGTCACTGATAAGCTGTGTTGTAGCTTCCAAAAAATATTCATTCATTGCTCCATTTCAGCCTCACTTGCTATCAAGTGATTTAATTACTGCAAACTAAATTGCAATTCTCTCCTTTTAATGTAGAGTTGTTTCTAGTCAGACCTTTAATGACTCTCCAAACAATAATATTTGGCAAAGAGAAATGTTGTCAGTCAAGCAGAACTATAAACATCTGTGTTTGTTTAGAATAAACTTCCTTTTAATTAAATATATAGATGTACCAGGAAAACTCCATGTCGCTGGAAATTCCACTGAAAGAACGTCAAATCTTCCAGAAACAGTGCATGCTATCTGAGAAACTCAGTTTCTCTCTCATCATTAGAAGGGTTTTTTCTTTTCCTGTAGTTGTTATTATTTTCAAAATGCATGTGCCTTAACACTGCACCTTCAGATTTCAGAATATTTAAGCTGTTTCGTATTGTCAAGGGCATCAGAAAATACATTTTAAATGTGTGGGAGTAGGGTTATGAAAGGAAGTCTTACTAACAAGTAGAGTGTCGAAGTTTGTATGTTATGCCAAATTCTGTCACTTCAGTCTGTCTTGAAAAAAACAAAAAACAAAAAAACTTTTGCCTCTTTATAACAAGACGCTGATAAAACAATGGCAATGTACTCTCAATTGTTCACTAATCTAAAAATAGGTCATTAGCATGAATATTAGACATGATTAAACACTGCAGCATAATTATTTTGTCCTAGGCCACATAATATCCATGTGTCTTTTCTTTTGAAATCATTCCAGCCATCTTTTTAAAATATTCACTGAAATTTACAGAGTTGCAATATTGAGACAGTTAAAACATGTAGAAATATATTTCTGCACATATATGCAAATACTTCTTTAAAATATTCTGACTTATCAAAATGATCTGATTAATTTATTAGTCAGGGGAACAGTTATCCTTACATTATATTAACCTTTATGAAACAACAATTTATAATCAATTCTAAAGAAAGAAGAAATACTTTGGTTTAGAAATATTCACTACATCCTTCATAACCCTCTTCTCAACAGTACTGAATAGTTAAAATATCTTAAGGTTATAGTAATTTAAATAGCATCAAATGAATAGAATCTCATAGATTCGAAAGTAAGATATCATTGATAATTGTTTGGATTAGATGTCTTGGCAATTCTACCCTATCTCATTGCAAGTAAATATCACAACTATAACCACAAACAATATCAATGTGATTCTTTTTGTATATTTATTGATTTGTATAATATGCATGACCAATAGAAAAACTTTTCTGAATATCATATAGATTTCCACTATATTTCCATGTTTCCTCACTGCACGACACTTTATTATAAAAGTAAACTAAATTGGAAATAAAATCTTGGAGTCGGAGAATAATTTGTAATTTTTTTCCTGCTATCGTTGAGAAAAACACAGATGTCAAATATTTGTTATATGAATTCATATTCATTTGATTTTATTAGGTATTCCCTGTAAAACGGGATGTGAATCTTGGTTCTATGGTTCCAGCAGATCACCATAATGACCAGTTTTAATGGGAATATTTCTTTTTCTTTCCTAGGGCACATCATTGTCATGGTCTTTTGAGTGAGTTTCCTGAATTTTCACCTGTGAAATTTAATGATTCAAAAATAATCATTAAACACATAGGTTGAGGAGGAAGAATATAGCTTTAAAGAGAACTAATTTCTGGCCTTAGAGCTCATGTTCACCTTTCTGAAATATTTCAGAGAAAAACAGGTCAGACAGAGCCCTGTAGTAGCATCAGTGGCCACATCTATAGCAATTGAGCACTACTATCTGCCAAAGACTAGCAATAAGCTACAACAGTAGCTGAACAAATTAGTCCTGTACTATGCTTATCCCGCTGCACTCAAACGACTACACGTTTCTTGTGTCTGGTAGCCCCAGCTGAGTCTGGAATCATAATCTTAGTTGTTACTAGGGCTCAAAGTTTCTCATCTGCACCTTATCTGGTAGCATTGTCACTCTGCAAGTGAGGGCACCTGAGGTAACCTCATTTCTCTAGGTGGTTTTTATTAGACCCTGCAAAGTTCCAAAGCTTCCTCTCAGCTGGGCTTTCTTGATATTTCACCTGTGGTTTAAGCCAGTTCCAATTCCAAGAACCAATAATAAATTCAAGCTAAAAGAATATAAAAAATTGAGGAACTCTGCATAAACATCTTTTTCTTGCCCTCACAGTCCCCCACTGGAAAACTGACTTTTATTTAGATCTGTGTCATTAAACAAACTAGAGCCTCCTTTTGGAAGGTGAATTTCAAACCTGTTGCCTGTGTCATTCTCATTCACGGTGCCTCATCTATTACTTTAACCCTAAATCTAAATCCCTGTCTTGCTATTTTAATTCCTCCTAGCCCAGGTGCTGAAGGTTCGTTTTCATAGTTAAGCCTCTACTATTTTCCAACAGACTAACCTAATGCTGAGTTGCCTGTCTGGATTTCATGTTGTTAGCTTCTCAGATAGTCTTTGTTCTTGTGTTTGTTTAGAGTGCCCCCACATAAATTGGCATTCCAGTACCAGAGCATCTAGCAATCCTGCTCTAATGGGAACCGAAGGGGAGATGGACGTGGTTGTTTACAGTGTGATTTTCATGGGATGCTTAATTTACCTGGAAGACAGTCTAATGCCTAACAGGGGCATCCTTCACATGGGAAACTTGTTTATGTTGGCAGACACTCTTGTGGTTCTTGTCTGACTTGTGTTCAGTTATGCCTGCCTGATCATCACTATGGTGTGAGGAGCCCAGCCTGTGCTCTCCTCAGCATCCAAGGGAAAAACCAGGCCTGGGAAGCATCTGCTTCTTCAGATGGAAGGCACAAATCCAATACACCACCACAGCAGGAACCAAGCAGAAAGATTTTACTTACAGATCCTGGGCAGGGAGGGTACTGTGAGTTGGAAAGGCAGTCCTTTGCCCCCAGGTCACAGAAGGCAGGACTGAGAAAGCAAAAGAGAGTGGCACTAGCAGCATATATAGTGAAATAGGGCGTAGGTCACTTTAAGTTCATTGGCAAATGCCAAAAGGCTACATTTAAAGGGCACAGCAGGAAAGTGGGGAGCGCAGTCCACTCAGAGGGAGAGATGCTTCTAAATTCTTATCTCAGGCTACTGGCTGGAGCCATTTGGGTGTCATGCTCTGCTGCTAATGCCCAAGCAGCAACCTTTACTGCGTTGTTCCTGTTACAATGTTTTACCTCTGTGTTGGAATAGACTCTCTCCCTTCATCTTGCAGACCTCCTCCAAGATGTATTAAAGACTATATCTGCTAGATGCCATCTATTACCTACTAGATTTCACTTCTGCCATAACATTAATCTGTATCCATGTACTCAGGTCCTTTGCTACCCCATCTGTTCAGAGAATTCCAGATTTTGTTGATGTTGTGTTGACTGACTGGGGTTAGAAGAGCTCTATAACCCAACTCAAAGTGAAGTGTGTAAGATTTAGGAAAACTGGTTCAATGAGAATAACCAGACCAGAATGCGTTCCTTCACATTTCACTACAATTAGCACAATTGGTGGTTGAAGTTTCATTATACAACCCCTAACACCAGCTGCTTTCCTGTCAAAAACCGACCAAATATACCAAGACAAGATTGGAATTTGAGCTTTCCCATGACCATAGAATTATGTAATTGGAAAGGACTAAGGTTCATTTGGTGTATTCAACTGCATGCTTGGATATCAATTCTGAAATCCCTACATCCCATCTGTTTTTAAAGTTTCCAAGGACAGAGATTCTGAGAAGTTTACAACATATCTGAGAGAGACAGTAATTACTCTTAAGGTTAATAATGCAGCCTCATATAAGAAATGGAGTCATCATTTGTAATGTTTGCTGACTTAATGTTTGTTTATCTGTGGTAAGCATTATCAGTCTTGAAGACACAGTGTCATTACTCTGATTTCTTCTCGTGTAGAGGTTACAACTTTTGCCTCTTCTTTGATCTTTTCCCCTGATTTTTTAAAATATAAGTATCTTTTTTTTTCCTCTGGAAGCTAACATTGATGTGAAAAAGTAAGAAGTGACAGCGTGCTGGCAGTCCTCGCAGTCCTTGCTCGCTCTCGGCACCTCCTTGGCCTTGGCGCCCACTCTGGCCACGCTTGAGGGGCCTTTCAGCCTGCCGCTGCACCATGGGAGCCCCTCTCTGGGCTGGCCGAGGCCGGAGCCTGCTCCCTCTGCTTGTGGGGAGGTGTGGAGGGAGATGTGTGGGCGGGAACTGGGGCTGCATGCTGGCGTATGTGGACCAGCGGGCGTTCCGAGTGGGCGTGGGCTTGGCAGGTCCCACACTTGGAGTGGCCAGCCAGCTCTGCCAGCTCTGGGCAGTGAGGGGCTTAGAACCCGGGCCAGCAGCTGCAGAGGGTGCGCCGGGTCCCCCAGCAGTGCCAGCCCGCCAGCACTGTGTTTGAATTCTCGCCAGGCCTCAGCTGCCTCCCCGCGGGGTGGGGCTCGGGACCCGCAACCCGCCATGCCTGAGCCTCCCTCCTCCCCCCACTGTGGGCTCCCGCGTGGCCCGTGCCTCCTCGAGGAGCGCTGCCCCCTGCTCCACGGTGCCCAGTCCCATCGACCACCCAAGGGCTGAGGACTGCGGGCACATGGCACAGGACTGGCAGGCAGCTCCACCTGCAGCCCCAGTGTGGGGTCCACTAGGTAAAGCCAGCTGGGCTTCTGAATCTAGTGGGGACCTGGAGAACCTTTATGTCTAGCTAAGGGATTGCAGATACACCAATCAGCAGTCCGTGTCTAGCTCAAGGTTTGTAAACACACCAATCAGCACCCTGTGTCTAGCTCACGGTTTGTAAATGCACCAATCAGTGCTCTGTGTCTAGCTAATCTACTGGGGACTTGGAGAACCTTTATGTCTAGCTAAGGGATTGTAAATACACCAATCACCACTCTGTGTCTAGCTCAAGGTTTGTAAATACACCAATCACCACTCTGTGTCTAGCTCAAGGTTTGTAAACACACCAATCAGCACCCTGTGTCTAGCTCAAGGTTTGCAAATGCACCAATCAGTGCTCTGTGTCTAGCTAATCTAGTGGGGACTTGGAGAACTTTTGTGTCTAGCTCAGGGATTGTAAACGCACCAATCAGCACCCTGTCAAAACAGACCAATCAGCTCTCTGTAAAACAGACCAATCAGCTCGCTGTAAAATGGACCAATTAGCAGGATGGAGGTGGGGCCAGATAAGGGAATAAAAACAGGCTGCCCGAGTCAGCAGTGGGTAATCCCCTTGGATCTTCTTCCACAGTGTGGAAGTTTTGTTCTTTTGCTCTTTGCAATAAATCTTGCTGCTGCTCACTCTTTGGGTCCACACTGCCTTTATGAGCTGTAACACTCACCGCGAAGGTCTGCAGCTTCTCTCCTGAGGCCAGCGAGACCACGAACCCACTGGGAGGAATGAACAACTCCGGACGGGAGGAACAAACAACTCCAAACGCACCGCCTTAAGAGCTCTAACACTCACTGCAAAGGTCTGCAGCTTCATTCCTGAAGCCAGCGAGACCACGAACCCACCAGAAGGAAGAAATACCAAACACTTCTGAACATCAGAAGGAACAAACTCCCGACACGCTGCCTTTAAGAACTGTAACACTCACCGCGAGTGTCTGCGGCTTCATTCTTGAAGTCAGTGAGACCAAGATCCCACCAATTCCGGACACAAGAGTAAATACACCTGAGGGAATCGGGAACTCTGCTTACTCATCCCACTCTGCCCAATAGCACGGATCATGTCAAACTAGAACAGGTTTTGTTTGCTCCAATTAATCTCCAAGAAAAATAAGGCAGTAGGAAAGTAACAGTAAATATATGCTTTTTATAGAGCTGATACTATAATTTTTAAACTTGAATCAATAAAAAAATTGTTTAGGGGTTGAATCCACAATAAAGTAACAATAAAGAGTATACTGGAGATACAGCAGTGATGCTTACCATAGTCAGCTCATAAACAAGTGGCATTAGGCAGAAATTGCAACAGGTATCATGAAAGCAGTTGAAAAATTAGTGCCAATAGGAAACAGCTTATGAAGGTATTTGGCTTTTAACATGTAATACTAAAGACATCATTTTGTTGTTGAAATTGTAGGGAACAAACCTGGAGACATTTCAGAAAGTCTTATTTATTGAGTTGCTACTTGGAGACAGCAATTGGAAGCTAAAATAAATCATCACCACAATAAACTAATTTTCTTGATTGAATATCCACCCAGACTGCTGAGGCAAGTCAGTCACTTGTACTATTGCTGTTGCCATCTGTTTCACTATTTCTCAAAGCAAGAATGATTGTTGATTAATGTGCACTATGCAAATTCAACCACTTTACAAGTAGTGACCTACAATTACTCATGCAAAACTATCTGATGAAGCAATGAGGCAGTCGATCAATGCCAATAAAGCACCATTAACGATTTGGCCAGCTTGGGGTTATAGATAGGTAATAATTTTTAGCTACTGGGACTATATTATTCAAGTAGAGCTACCCTATTATAAATAGTTGAATTATGCTTCTTTAAAGGCATTTTTCCTGACTTTCTTTACAGGATTCCTGATGCAAGAAGGACATTTAATCTCTTTAGAATAATTAACCAAATGATTCGCAATTGCTAAATAAATGGTTTTTTTGTTTGTTTGTTTCTGCTTCTTTAACTCTCTGCATTTTCCCTTAAAGAGTTTATAATTTTCTGCATATTTACTGGTTACAATACAAACACTGGAATCAAATTTGGAATTTTGGTTTCACAACTTACTGACTCTGTAAACTTAAGCAAGTTTTTTTTTTATCATATGGCTTCTTGATTATCCCATCTGAAAAAAATGGAAATGATAATTGTACTCTATATCATGGTATCGCTGTGAAAGTTTTTAAAAGTTTATTTATATAAAGTACTTATAATAGGGCTTGGTACATGGTATATACTGATGTATACATATGTTATGTATACATCATATACATGGTGTATACATAACTGATACCATTATTTTTATTTATCAGTGTTATTATTTGCTTAATATCTGTTTCCCTAACTGGATTTTAAGCTCTATGAGGATTAGAACTATGTTTATGTTGTTTGTTCTTGTATCTTCAATAAAATAGTTCCTGAAACAAGTGCTCAATCAATACTTTTTGAATGCATCAATAATGAATTTGGCCAAATGTATTAAAAGCTTTTAAAATATGCATATATTTTTAGTCATTTTTGCTACACTCATTTTTAGATTTTTACCATATCTAGGATATTTCTGTAAGAACAAAACATGGATGATTTCCCAAATATAAAAGTATGTATGTGTTAATTATAACATTGATTATAAAAAAAAAACTACACACAACTTAAATATCCAACAATTATAATAGAATTATTTAGGATTATGTCCTCCTTAAAAGTGATATAGCTATATACTGAATGGCATGAAAAAGTGTTTGTAATTTACATTTCATGTTACAGCAAGTTATGAAAGTATTTATAGTATGAATCCCAATTCATAAAAATACTTGTGTGTATATCTTAATATATCTATATGTAAATATATGTACCTATATACAGCTCAAAATAAATACAGGGGTTAAGCTCCTGGATGTACATTTTTTCTGCTTGCTTCTCTGCATCATATAGTTTTTATACATATATAGATCATGTTGCATGTATAATGATTTTAAGTTAAAAAAATAATTATCAAAATATATTTTTCAAAACCGAATAAGCCAAATATTGTGAATATTGGCTTGTACCAGAGATTCTCAGAATTGGAAATCAAACTTCATATCTAATGAAGAATTCCTTGTCATCAATTTCCTGATTCTTCAGACAGGTTGTTTGGTATTTTCTTAAGCATATGCAGTGATGGTAGCACTTCTTATCATTGAACAGCACCCATGAATCATTAAATTCAGATTAATTGTGATTTCTTACGATTTTCATCAATTATTTCTAGTTTCTTTTTAATAAATCAACTGAAAATGTTATTTTTTGATGAGTTTATCGAGTACTTGAAAATAGCTATAATGTTTTGATAAAATACATTTCAGCTGGATTACAGACCTAAATATAAAATACGTGTATAGATGCATGTGTAGATACAGACATGTACACGCATACATAACCTTGAGAGTTAAGAAGAAAATTTAGGAAAAAATTGGTTATCGCAGTGAAGCCATGAAAGCCTTTTAAAAGTAGACACCAAAAGCGAAAGACATATGATAATTAAGATTTTTGGTTACATAATGATTTTTAAAGGACAAAAAATAAAATCAAGTAACATTCTAGAAGAAAATATTTCAAAATAGGTAATAGTCATAATATACAAAAAAAAAGTTAAAATGAAGCCTATAAAAACGGTCAAGACCTATAAGCAGGCTATTTATAGAAGAGGCATAAAAATTCTGAATAAATATATTAAAGATTGTTTTTCCTTTAAAAATGAGATATAGCTTCCTAGCAGATTTCAATCATATCTGAAATAAAAAAATAAAAATTCTGATCATATCAAATGTTGTCAACGTTGTGGGAAAAGTATTTTCTCATACAGTGCTGAAGTAATTTTTAAAGAGACACAGCTACTTTGGAAGGCAATTTGGCTGTATGGATTTCATGTAAAGTGTACATTCTTGATAATCCAGCAATTTGACTTCTGGATATATACCCTAGAGGTTCAATCACACATATGCAAAAATAAGGCGTATTTATAAGGATATTCAATGCAGAATTGAACAGACACAATGGAAAATCTAAGTTAGATTGTTAAATTCATATTGTAGAACACTATGACATAATCATAAAGGATATACTATAATGAAGATGGATGTATCTACAAATATTGTGAGGAAAAAGCAAAAGTTGTAAAAAATACATATAGTGGGAACTATGCTCTCACTAGACCAGGGCAACAATAAATTAGGCAGCACAAAATATAAGTAATGCTTGGGTTGAGAAACTCTGGTCTAAATGTAGCATTTGTGATGAAAGGTAACAACTGTTTACATTGAGAATCAACTTGAACACTAGAAATGTGACCACAAGAAATATGAACACTAAAAATGTAAACATTAAAAATATGAGATATTTTGTCTTAATAAAAATACTTAATGAGGTCAAATTACTATATATTAAATAAAATTCGGCTTTAAATACTTTTGATTTAAAATATTGCTACTGGGCCAGGTGTGGTGGCTCACACCTGTAATCCCAACACTTTGGGAGGCCAAAGCAGGAGGATCACTTGAGCCCAAAAGTTTGAGACCAGACCAGCCTGGGCAACATAGGGAGACACTGTCTCTTCAAAAATAACTACCAGGGTGTGGTGGTGCACACCTGTGGTCCCACCTACTCAGAAAGCTGAAGTGGAAGGACTGCTTAAGGTTGGGAAGTTGAGGCGGCATTGAGCTGTGATCATGCAACTGCTCTCCAGAATGGGCAACAGAATGAGATCCTATCTCAAGATAGATAGACACACAGACAGACAGACAGAGAGATAGATAGATAGATAGATAGATAGATAGATAGATACTCACATGGAAGTTTCACAAAAGTTTATCATTTTCTTGAGCACAATGGAAACATCAGCAAGTCCAAAGTAGCAATGTTACAATCAACTTTCTCTGACACAATAAAATAAAACTAGAAATTTTAAATGAACAAAAAAAATGCAAAAGGTCCTTGCTTGCACATTAAAAGAGGTTCTATTAAATGGCTCTTGGATGACAGGGATATACAAACAGAAATACAACTTCTGAAAAATAATAAATCTGCTATATCAGAAACTGTAAGATATAATTAAAACAGAAATCAGAGGAAAATTCAAGTCTCCAAAAATATGTATCAATGAAATAAAAATGTAACAAATTCCCATCACATAAAATTATTAAAAATAGCAAAATGAAGTAAAATACAAAGAAGACAATAATAAACATACAAGCAAAAATAAATGAGGTAAAGAACAGAAAAATCAATAGATTGCATTAACATATAATAATTCTGATATGTACAAATTTTTATTAAAATAGGAAACACACTATTTAATATAATTTAAAAAGTAGGGAGAAAACATATTCACAAAATAAGAAATGACAAGAGGGAGATAATTATTCATACAGAGAAGTTTTTTTGTAAATCATGCTAGTACATTCTACCCACTTATAGTATCTTTGAAAATGTGCAGGAAATGGATAATATCTTAGGCAAATAGACTACCAAAACTTACCGAAGTAGAGGAAGATAGTTTTAACAGATGACTAACCATACACGAAACAGAGATAGTTACCAGGGAACTACCCCACAACAAAGCACCGGGCTCCGATTGTCTTAACGAGGGAATTCTCCCAAGCTACTATGCGTTTGCCCTTCCACCCAGGAATCCCACTTCAAGGAATTTACACTAACACTTTCAAAAATATAAAAATATACATTTACAAAGTTATTCATGGCAACATTACATATAACTGCAAAATATTAGAAACTACCTATTATTTAAGCATATGAGATTGTTTATAAATAAAGTGTCTTCTTGAAGACTACTTCCTAGTTCTAACAGGGGACACAAAAAAGGGACATTGTGTTGCGCTGGACTGAATGTTTGTCATCCCCAAACTCATATGTTGAAGTCCTAATGCAATGGCATTTGGACGTGGGGCCTTTGATAGGTAATTAAGTTTGGATGAGGTTATGAGGGTGGTGCCCCCAAAGGGCACTAGCTCCTTTACCAAAAGAAAAAGAGACTAGCACACTCCCTCTTTCCACAATATGAGCATAGAAGAAGGTAGCTATTTGCAAACTGGAGAGGGTCTTTGCCAGACACACAATTTGCTGGCATCTGAATCAGAGATTTCCTAGCCTCTAGAACTTTGAAAATAATTTTTGTTATTTAAGCCACCCACTGTATGGTATTTTGTTATAGCAGCCCCAATGGACTAAGATGCATACCTGTAGATGTGATATCCTGAAAAGGACACGACATCATGACCTAGGCAGTATTTTGGATGAGAATGCATAAGTCAAAACTACATCCAATAAAATGTCAGAAAACAAAAATGTGAAATGTTCTATTAAGAAAAACAAAACAACACAAAATGAAACAAAACACAGTGAGAGGCACTGACTGTATTCTTCCAAAATGTCCATGTCATAAAAGTGAAAGAAAGCACTGGAACTGTTCTGGACTAAAGGAGTACAAAGAGACATGAAAATCAAATGCAATTCCTAACCCTATCCTGTATCCCTTACTAGGGGAACAAAATGTTATATTTTTGAGTCAATCTTTGAAGTACAATGGTAGACCTGATAAATGTATGATATACCCAGTTAAATGTACTGAAGTTGTGACTAAACTGTGGTAATATAAAAGAATATACCTATTCTTAGATAATAGACAATAAATCATTTACAGGTATAGGGCTATGATATACCTAACTTACTCATAACCCAGGAAGAAATTATGTGTGTGTGTATGCTTACATATTTGTATAGAAAACAAAGAGTAAATGATAAACCAAATGTGATAAAATGTCAACAACAGACAAATCTGTGTACAAGTATATGAGTGTTCTTTGTACTTCTTTATTTTGTAAGTTATCTATAAATTTAAAATTACTTCCAAATAAAATTGAAAAAAATATTTTATAAGATCTAGATTTTTAAAAATCAGCTTTATTGAAATATTATTTTAAAATGTTAATATTATTAATAATTATAATTTTTCTTTTACTTAATTATGAATATTTTGTAAGATTTTATACTTTTATATTAATCTATACATTTTATGAAATAATTATATATCACACAAATGCAATCACAATACTTTAATAATTTGTGTCATACGGTCAGGAGAACAAAAAGTAAATGAAAATCACAATTATTAATAATATAAATAGTGATTTTGCTAAAATGAAGTCAAGAAAACAATTTATGAGATAACTATGTAACAATTTGTGAATTATGCATCTTCCTTTTATTACTTACCCAAAAGGTACTAGCCTCAGTAGCAATTTAGACACATAGAATCATAAATTTAATCATGTTTGATATTTCCCAACTTTAGTCATGTGAGAACGATAGCTTATCCATACTTTTATTTCATCATAATAAAGATATAATTTGCAAAGTTGTAAGATCAAATAATTTTTTATGTAACTGTTTCTTAGCTTGATTTGAAACTTTTATATATTTAGGAATATTTACTAAATACTAATAATATCAGTAAATACCTCACAAATGTTTGGCTACAATAAACCACCTTCATAGTTTGTCAGGTACCTATGAAATACATATAAAAGGTCAATTTAAAATGTATATGTTCTATAAATATTCAATAGCTCTTGATCATAACCATTTCCTCTGGTAAATGCTCACAGAGCATGTATTTAATCCACTGCAGAATTTTGCTCTTGAGAGATATCAAGCTCATGGATCAATAATTTATGGAATCCATTGTCTTCTCTTTGGGACAAAAAACAATAAAATTATTATTTCCTGTTTTCCAAAGTTATTTTCTATTTTCAAGTGTCTCAGGACACTTTTTCAGATTTAAAACTTTTTTTGCAGATTTAGTTAATATTTACTGTGTTTCCCATGCCCCAGCAATATGCTAGACATTTCTATGTTCAATTACTTAACAATTATTTAAGATGAGTGTCCTTTGCCCTATTTAACAAATGAGGAACCTGAGACTATAAAATTTAATTATATGTTCAAAGGCACACATGTAATAAATGCCATAGTTATGATTTAAATTGACACTCAGGTAGTAAAATACATACTTTTAAAAAGCATAAAATAATTGTTTTAATATTACCTCGTCACAATTTGAACACAAACCTCATAATTTCAAGTATTATATATTCTTCATTAAAACACCCATATCCTCCAAACTGGCATAGGACTTGACTGTTTGAAAGCAATAACACTTACGTAAGCACACTTTCAAAGAGCTAGGAAAGAGGTAAAAACATGGGCATGCATAAATGAGAAGAGATGAACAGTACAGTACAGATGTTTTCTGTTTTCTGGATTTGTTTTCTTTTCTTTTGAACACTACTGTCTATTATACAAAGGGCACATGCAAATTAGTTATTTGCCCACCATATTTTTTGATAACATTCAAGTAAATTTTTCATTTATCCAACTAATTGGGTCTTTGCCTATCTGCTAGGGGTTGGCTTTGAAATAGAGAGGAAAAACTGTCTATCTTGTGTGAGTAATAGCTCTATTTTAATCTATTTTTCATCACATTTTCTGTTTGAGTGTCATTTATTTTAAATGGTAATTAAAGAATGATTAGACATTTCTTATTAACTCCCCCTCCCCACTCACCCTATTCTTGGAGTATTGTCTTGGAAAGCCATATTAGGCAGAAATCTGAGATTTCCACATGAAAGCATCGATTAAACTGACATTAATAGCAAACATATGACTAATGTTTTGACAGAGGAGTCTAAATTAATTATTAATAATAGACCACTTCTGAACACTTCTTGATATGAGACAAGACTTTTTCTTTCTTTTTTAAAACTACCTGTAGATATTTAGAATCAGTTTCTTTGGAAGATTTAATCAATTTAGATTCCTTTAATAGTTGTTTGAGGCCTTTAAATATAAGACTTCTTCTGTTAAATAAAAACAAACACAACTAAAAGATCCCTTTAGCATAAATATATGATTTAATTTGAGTTTTCATTGTCTCTGCACTTTTTCCTTTTGAATACATGTTTTTCTCATATCTCATGTATGTTAATTTCCCCAAATAATAGGTTCAACTGGAAAACATCTATTAGATTCTAGCATTAACAAATAAAGTGCCATAAGAAATTACAGCGCTAGTAAGTATTATTTTGTTAGTCAATCCCTTGTCAAATAAGTTATATAAGGCCACGTCACAATATCTTAAACTTCTTTGCATTTATTAAATAAAGTTAAAATGTAAAATGAAAAAGGGACATATGTAAGGCCATTGCTAGTTGTCTGAAAACCTAGGGATATAATTTATCTTTGGGGTAAGCAGCTTTGCAAGATCACAAACATGGATGCTTTTATGAAAGAGTTACAAATCTCAAATTAGATTCTATATCTATCATGGGAATATGCTTATGTAAAATATGTATATGCACCTGATGTTATTCAATCAAATAATCTTCCTATCTTTTCTTTCCCTTGGGTTATTCTTCAGCACATCCTGTAATGGTTTCTATGAAATCATTTTCATTCATGGTGACATCACTCAGATTTTGCTTTATTGAGCTGTAGATAAAGAGATGATTTTTTTGTGTGCCTTCTGAGGAAAGGGAATACAATCACAAGTGAGTGATGATACTTTTTTAATCTCTCATCTACCTTATTGGGTTATCTCACTCTCTCTCTCTGCACTCTTATGTGCTGTGACAATTGTGAATGAAATCAAACTACAGGCTTGTGTGATTTGTGTGGTTTTTGTTCTCACTACCCTTTTCAAAACATTGCTTTTCATGGGGCAGATAACTGAAGTTTGTAAATCAATTTATAAAACCTGTGTGGCCATCCTGTGGATTTACGTATCTTATATAGAAAGACATTATAAGCATTTTCTTGATCCAACTCAAAAGGATTTACTGAGAGCTAACAGCCCCACTAAAATATTATTAATGATCTCAAAACAATTAAAAATTAAAACATTTATCGATATTATGAACCTTAACTATTACTTTATAAATTATCATGGGGAAATTATTAATATTTAAAGGTATAGGTTTATTTCATAACTAATAAAACAACCTGTTCCAGTTCTTGCTGCTTCTTTTGAAATTGCTTTCACTCATCACTTTCCATTTAATCTCCAGGGAAATGGTGTAGATAGTACTGAATAAATCAACTCATCTTATGGATATTTTTTCACAAATCAGTTTAATGCTTCATGGTTAGATAATTTTAGAATCATAGGAAAACAAGTCTTGAATAGTGGATACTATGTCGTAAGTTTTATTTAATCTCCGCTGTAACCACAATCACCACCCTCACTTCAACAAACTACTTTTCAATGTTTTGATAATTTACATACACTGGAATTTACCAATCATTTATTCATTCATGAATAAATATTTGTTTTCCATCTACCATGGGCAAGGGGCTTAACTAAGCAGGGGGTCATTGCAGTATATCAAACATTATGTCCTTTCCCTCATAGAGTTTAATTTATATTCTACTGAGATGATCAATATTAAACAAACAAATAAATATTAAATATGTCATTAAGAATAAATGTTATGAAGATAACTAAATAAGGTAAGGGAATTGAAAATGACAAAGGTGCAATATTGTAGTTAGGAAAGATTCTTTCAGGGGTTGACATCTAAGCTGAGATTTGAAGGAAAAAATTGAGTCAGGTGTTAAGATAACCAGGAGAAAAGTGATCCACATAGAGGTAAGAGCAAATACAAGAGCTAAGCTATGTGTGAGGTAGGAACATACTGGGTGTGTTCTCAGAACATCAAGGTGTGGCTGGAACCTAGAAAGTGAGAGGGAGAGTCAAAGGCAATGAAGTGAGAAGAGCCTTGGGTTTATGTCCGTTAAGCACTCACAGGTTTAGATTTTATTTTAACTGCAATGGGAAATCATTGGAGGGATTTGAGCAGTGAAATGACATTCTCTGATTTTTCCTTGCTTTCTCTCTCTTTTTTTTTTTTTTTAATTGAGATGGAGTCTCGCTCTGTCACCCAGGCTGGAGTGCAGTGGCGCGATCTCAGCTCACTGTAAGCTCCACCTCCCAGGTTCACGCCATTCTCCTGCCTCAGCCTACCGAGTAGCTACGACTACAGGCGCCCACCACCATGTCACCATGCTAATTTTTTTTGTATTTTTAGTAGAGTCGGGGTTTCACCGTGTTAGCCAGGATGGTCTCGATCTCCTGACCTCGTGATCCGCCCACCTCGGCCTCCCAAAGTGCTGGGGTTACAGGCGTGAGCCACCGCGCCCGGCCCTCTCTCTCTCTCTTTTTTTTTTTCTTTTTAAAGATACTTTAGCTGTTTGTGGAGAGGAATCTGCAGGGTGAAGTGGAGATACAGTGACTATGCTCCCGTGGTTCCAGGTGTAAGGTAAAGGTGTTAGTGGCCTTGTACCCAAGCGGTAGCAAAAATGGATGAAATTCATGAATTATCTATGTATAGTATATGGATGTAGAGCTAATTGGATCTCACCAATGGATTGACTGGATTTAGGATGCAAAAGAAAAGAGTCAATGATGGTTCTACGGTTTGGAACCTTATCAACTTGATGGGTGGTGGTGCCAATTAAGAAAAGAGAGAATACTAAAGAACAGGCTGTGGGGTGCAGATAATCAATAGTTTTATTTATGCATATCCATTTTGAGATGCCTATTAGACATTCAAGGGTAGATGTCAAATACGCAGGTATCTAAATTTGCTGGGTAAATCGGCCCTGGTAATTTAAATTTTGCCATGATTAGCCAATATTTAAAATAATTAGCCTTAAAAGCAGGCTATGTTATTTCAAGCTGCTAAAAACAACCAGATGGAAAGGGTAGGAGCAACTCTAATTATACTGAACAGAATTACATTGTATTTTTATAAATTGTTTTTTAAAAATCTAATATTTTCCAGAAGTATACCTATTCTTCTCATCACATTGCTATTACTAAATAATAATAGTAATTACAGTGTGTCATGCAATGTTCCAAAATATAAATGCATATATATTTTGTGCCTATATATATGAAATATCACATATAAGTGCATATATAATATTAGAGATATATATTACATACACAATTCATAATGTTACATATATACATATACTTTTTAAATAGCAAGTAATAGTAGCAAATACATTCCAGGCAATGATCTAAGATATATATAATGCTTATGTATATAATATTTTGTGCCTATATCTGTATAGCAAGCATTACTATTCAATTATTTACTATGTGTCAGAAAACGAAGATTTTATATACATAATGTAAATACATATATATCTACATATAAATGTATACATGTATGCACTTATACATATATACATATATATAAGTGTGTACACATGTATATATTTATATGTAGATATATATGTCTATGGATATATAGAGAAAATATTACATACGTGCACACATGAACTTGTAAATCCTCATGCCAATATTACACATTCTATTGTAGATAAGAAATTTAAGCCAGAAAGAAGTAAATTAACTCACTCAAATTAACACAGCTATTAACTCTCCACATGGAATTTGAAGTCAGGGAGTTGAGCTGCAGAGAAGACATTCTTATTCACTCTGCTGTACTGACTTACTAATACTAAATAAGAAAGGAAGCCATTGTATTGATGTCTATTTATGTGTTTAGTGAAATATTTAAAATCCTTAAAATATTAATCTAAATTTATTTTTATTAATCTAAAATCATATTTATTAACAAAGAAATAACCATATGGATATTGATGAGATTATTAGTAGTAGGCCATTTCATAAAAAGTTTAATAGATTTTTAATTTATAAAACTGAAAACTAATATGCACTTAACCTCATTAAAATCATATATTTATGGAATGAGCTGTCACTATTATTTGGTACTGAGCAGTGACTATGTATGTAAAAAAATAAAACCATTTTACCAATATTCCTGCTACCTGTGTACTAAAAATTCCCATATTTTCTTTCCCCTCACTTCTTTCTTCTGTCATGAATTCGTCCAGACTCATAGTGCCACCTCTCAGAGATTGTGGGTACAACTTCTAGTTCATTTCAGGGACACTCTCTAGGACAGATGTGGTTTTTGCAACAACCATATTTCAGAGACAGAGCTGTGAGGAAATCAGAATTTTACTTTTATCTACTTTGAAAATAGCTTCTGAAAACCACCTTAAACCTCCAACTAATGAAAAGTTGGTCTTTTCTATGAAAGTTATAGGTGAGTGAATTAGAAAGGTCCTAACTGTAGTAACATGACATATTTTCTTGTTCCATGGGGTGACTGTTTTCTCCTCTTGCACTGAAATATGCCCGTCAAGGACAGAGTCCATGTTCCATGCTTTTTTGTATCCTAGACATGATACTCAACAGGATGAATATATAGATACTTGACATACGTTTGAACTTAATTCAACACAGAATTGTTATATTCTCTTTCACCAATTTTCTTTCTTTTGCTTAGATTTGAAATCACAGGTTATTACCAGCTCCTTCCTACTGTCATGATAATCATGGATACCTAAATAATTGTATCTATTATCATTTACAAATTACTTCCTAAACCAACTAGTGCTGAAGCTAAAAGTCACCTCAATGATGACTGCAAGCAAATTCATCAACAACCGAGATGATGCTTCAGTGGTTGCTTCTGCAATGAGGTTCTCAGAATCATGTAAAAACCAAGCTGGCATTTTTTTAATTGACACATTGTAATTGTGCATATTTATGGAGTACACTTTGATGTTTTAATACATATGTTGTATAATGATCAGAGTATTTATCATATTCATCACTTCATGCATTTATCACTTTTTTGCAATGAGAATATTCAAAAACCTCCCTTCTAGCTATTTTGTAAAACACCTTACCTTTAGCATCACGCTTCTGTGCAACAGAACACCAGATTTATTCCTCCTATCTAATTTTAACTTTGTACCCACTGACCAATGTCAGCCTATCCTTCGCTTTCTCCCTCCTCCCACGTACCTGGACTCTTAATTTCTGGTAACCACTGTTCTTTCTATTCTCTGGATATCAGCTCAATTTTTTCAATTCCATATGAGTGAGATCATGAAGTATTTGTATTTCTGTGTCTGGCTTATTTCACTTAACATTATGTCCTTCAGGTCCATGCATATTTTTTCAAATGACAGGATTTCATTCATTTTATGGCTTATCAGCCATAACAGTGTACAGTGACTGTGTACACTTACTACATGTTCTTCATCCATTCATCTGCTGTTGGACACAAAATGATTCCATATCTTGGCTACTGTAAATAATGCTGCAATAAACATAGGAGTAGAGACACTTTTGACATACTGATTTTATATTTTTAAGATATACTCAGGATTGGGATTGCTAGATCATATGATAT
The DNA here is from genome assembly GCF_000001405.40 of Homo sapiens. Taxonomy (NCBI): domain Eukaryota; kingdom Metazoa; phylum Chordata; class Mammalia; order Primates; family Hominidae; genus Homo; species Homo sapiens. The sequence continues at coordinate 51,137,165 of NC_000002.12, read as the reverse complement.
TTTATTTTTATTTTTTTGAGGAACTGCCATATTGTTTAAAACCAGTGTTTAGTAGAGAAACTACTATAAATAATCTTTCTAAGAAATCTGACAAAAATTTTGGAAGGTAGTCAGAAAGTCTTTCCACCTGTAGGTAAGAATAATTGTTGAAAAGGCATTAACGCAATACATATGAGCAACCATTATTTCTCACATGGAACAGCACTATATGCAATCCAAACAATGATCAGGAGTTTTACCCATAAAATCAAAACTGCTCTTTTAATTAAAAACTTCAGTTCTATTTTTTCTAGAAATTCAGAAAAGATCATAAAGATTGGGAAGGCTGAATAGAAGGACTCATCTGTTAAGAAAAAAGTGACATATAGGAAGTAAAAAAAGTGAACAATGATCATAATGTAATTCTGTTTAACAAATAATTTGAGGGTACCAACTGTACATAAAACAGTGCATTAAATGTTGCAAACAGAAAAATACATACAAATAACCCCTGGTTTCAAAGTACTACGGCCTAGTAGCAGCATAAATATTAATATAACTAACTGTAGTATAGAGCAGAGTGCTAAATAGCCATAGCAGTGACCGACTTATAAATAATTCATAATACAACAACATTGATTCATCATTTAGGTAACATATTTAAGCAATAAATATATAATGAAAAGAAGATTCAAATAATTCTTGCTTAGCATCCTAATTTCCTATGCCTCATAGACATAGAGAAGAATATGGGATTGATTCTGTTTGAGAGAGTCAGGAGGGCTTCATTTTACAGAATTTATGCAAGAATTCCAATATTAGAGGACTTAAGCAAATTCTTATTTTTTCTAACATTTTATTATGAAAATACTGAAACATACAGTAAAGTTGAAATAATTGTACAGTGAGCACATGTCTATCCATACATCCGTCTCCATATCATCCATCTTATTCCATGATACAGTCCAAAGTAAGTTGCAAATATAAGTATACTTTGTCCCTATATATGTGGTTTGTATATTATTAAGTAGAGTTAAATACTTGCTTTTTTTTTCAGGTAACATTTACCTACTGTATTAGTCTGTTCTTATGCTGCTAATAAAGACATATCTGAGACTGGGTAATTTATAAGAGAAAGAAGGTTAATGGACTCACAGTTCCACATGGCTGGGGAGGCCTCACAATCATGGTGAAAGGCAAAGGAGAAGCAAAGGCATGTCAAGAGAGGCAGGCAAGACAGATTGAGAAGAACTCTCATTTATAAAACTATTCCATCTCTGGAGACATATTCACTAACGGAAGAACAGTATGGGGGAAATAGCCCCCATGATTCAATTATCTCCACCTGGCCCTGCACTTGACACATGGGGATTATTACAATTCAAGGTGAGATTTGGGTGGGGACACAACCAAACCATATCATTCCACCCCGGCCCCTCCCAAATCTCAGGTCCTCACATTTCAAAACCAATCATGACTTCCCCACAGTCCCCCAAAGTCTTAACTCATTTTAGCATTAACTCAAAAGTCCACAGTCCAAAGTCTCATTTGAGTCCAGGCAAGTCCCTTTTGCCTATGAGCCTGTAAAATAAAAAGCAAGTTAGTTACTTCCTAGATACAATGGAGGTACAGGCATTGGGTAAATACACCCATTCTAAATGGGACAAATTGGCCGAAACAAAGGGGCTACAGGCCCCATGCAAGTCTGAAATTCAACAAGGCTGTCAAATCTTAAAACTCCAAAAAGATCTCCTTTGACTCCATGTCTCACATCCAGGTCTTGCTGATGCAAGAGGTGGGCTCCCATGGCCTTGGGAAGCTCTACCCCTGTGTCTTTGCAGGGTGGAGCTCCCCTCCCAGCTGCTTTCATGGGCTTGCATTCAGTGTCTGCAGCTTTTCTAAGTGCCTAGTAAAAGCTGTCTGTGGATCTACCGTTCTGGGATCTGGAGGATGGTGGCCCTCTTCTCATATCTCCACTAGGCAGTGCCCCAGTGGGAACTCTGTGTGGGGGCTGCAACCCCACGTTTTCCTTCTGCACTGCCCTAGCAGATGTTCTCCATGAGGGCTCCACCCCTGCAACACACCTCTGCCTGGATATCCAGGTATTTCCTTTCATCCTCTGAAATCTAGGTGGAGGTTCCCAAACCTGAATTCTTGCATTCTGCACACCTGCAGGACCAACACCACGTGGGAGCTGCCAAGACTTGAAGTTGCACCCTCCGAAGCCATAGCCTGAGCTGTACCTTGGGCCCTTTTAGCCATGGCTGGTGTGGCTGGGGCGCATGGCACCAAGTCCCAAGACTGCACAAAGTAAGGGGGCTCTGGGCCGTGCCAAGAAAACCATTTTTTTTTTTTCTCCTAGGCTCAGGACCTGTGATGGGAAGGGTAACTGTGAAGGTCTCTGACATGCCCTGGAGATATTTTCCCCATTGCTGTGGTGATTAGTGTTTGGCTTCTCATTACTCATGCAAATTTCTGCTGTGGGTTTGAATTTCTCCCCATAAAATGGATTTTTCTTTTCTATTGCATTGTTAGGCTGCAAATTTTTCAAACTTTTATGCTCTGCTTCATCTTGAACACTTTGCCACCTAGAAATTTCTTCTGCCAGATAACCTAAATCATCTCTCTGAAGTTCAATGCTCCACATATCTCTAGGGCAGGGGCAAAATGCTGCCAGTCTCTGCATAACAACCTTTCCTTCAGTTCCCAAGAAGTTCCTCATCACCATCTGAGACCACCTCAGCCTATACTTTATTGTCCATATCTCTATCAGCATTTTGCTAAAAGCCATTCAGCAAATCTCTAGGAGGTTCCAAACTTTCTCATATTTTCCTGTTTTCTTCTGAGCCCTCCAAGTCTCTGGGAAGTTTCAAACTTTCCCGTATTTTCTTATCTTCTTCTGAGCCCTCCAAACTGCTCCAACCTCTGCCTGTTATTACCCAGGTCCAAAGTCACCTCCACATTTTCTGATATCTTTACAGCGGCACCTCACTACCAAATACCAACTGTATCAGTCTGTTCTCATGCTGCTAATAAATAATACCTGTGACTGGGTAATTTATAAAAGAAAGAGGTTTAATGTACTCACAGCTGCACATGGCTGGGGAGGCCTCACAATCATGGCGGAAGGAAAAGGAGAAGCAAAAGCATGTCTTACATGGTGGCAAGTTAAGAAAAATTGTGCAGGGGAATTCTTTTTTATAAAACTATCAGATGTCCTGAGAATTATTCACTACCAGGAGAACAGTATGGGGGAAATGGCCCCCATGATTCAATTATCTCCACCTGGCCCTGCCCTTGACACTTGGGAATTCTAACAATTCAAGGTGAGATGTGGATGGGGACACAGCAAAACCATGTCACCTACACTGAAATCCACAAGTTTTAAGTATACCATTTGATGAATTTTGATAAGTATACACAACAATGTAACAAAGACAACTGTAGAGATACAGAATATTATTCTTATTCTAGAGTCTGAGATAGACCTTAAGTTCTTTCTCCGTCAATCCTCCCACTCAACCTTCCATAGAAGTCACTGTTCTGACCATTTTTATAATAGATTAATGCAGCCTGTTCTAGAACCTAATGGACATGGAATCATATTGTTTGCAATATTTTGTGTCAGGCTACTTTCTTTCAACATAATGTTTTTGAAATTCATCTATGTTTTATATTGGTGGTTCATTCCTTTTTATATTGGGTAGTATTCCATTGTATAAATATTCCAGTATGTTTGCCCATTCTCCTGGTCTCTTTCCAGTTTTCAGCTCTGATAAATAAAGCTTCTATGAACATTATTTCATATATCTTTTTGTAATCACATGACTACACATATATTGAGTAAGCACCTACAAGTGGGTTGCTGAATCATAGGATATGGTAGATTTGATTTTATAAGAAACTATCAGAACGTTTTTCTAAATGTACCATTTTACATTGCTACTAACAATGTATGAGGGTTATTGTTATACCATAGCCTACCAATATTTTGGTGTTGCCTGTGTTATTGTCTTTTTAATTCACCATGCTGGTGCTGGTGGTGTGCAATGGTATCTCATTGTGACTTTAATTCACATTTCCTTAGTGACTAATGGTGTTGAGCACCTTTTGATTGCATATTAATCACTTACATGTCTCCCTTCATAGAATATGTTTAATTCATACTATATTAACATAATATCTGATTAAACTTAGGACCTGAAGAAATATATAAACCATCTGAAAGCGGTCATTATTTCAGAGTACTTGTCACTACTAAGCATTTCATGAAAACTTGTGGTATAAAAATTAAAAGGACTTTTTTTTCACATTGCAAGTTCAAGTGGATAGTCATATTTTTATTTCAATAATTTTCTCAAAAACTAGAGTTTCCCAAGTTATCTCTTTTTGTAGGTTTAAATTCCTTCTCTGGGTTGAAGGTGGCTGAAAAATTCACGGGTTGAGAGTTAGTCCTGGGTTCCAGCTTCTCAATTCTGTTTTGGAGACTTACAATGTGAGGACAAGCAAGTTACTTACATTATATGAAGCTCCATTATTTTCTCCTTAGGAAAAATTGAGATAATAATGTCTATGTCTCAGAGTATATTTTAGGATTAAAATTCAATACTTTATTGAAGTCTTAACACAATGGCTAGCACATTGCATTGACCCAATACATCTTGATCTTTAGTTGTCATATAATCAAATGTTACCTAAAAGTGTCGACATATTAACCACTAGAATTTCCATCAAAATCTTAATAAAATCGCACAGATATAGTTTATAAAATACATTATGTGTTCTACTGAAGTTCTCAAAACAGGGATTATATCCATTACATCTGCCACCTTAAATCCAATGCTAAACACAGTGCCTATGAAGAATAAGGAATGAATAAAAATTTATAGGCTGAAAAATAAAGAAGAAAGCAGAGGCTTTTTTTCCAAATTTCTAACCAACATCTCAGAATGTAGACCCACATAATTTACGGTCAATCACTTCTTTTGGGGATATGCCTTTATCAAACAAGCATTTATTGAGAACCAACTGTGTTTCATGCACTATTCCAGCAACTTCAAAAAGACGGAATAGATCCTTACACTCATGAAGTTTACATTAATGGAGCCAGAAATACAATAAACTCTTTAACAAATAAATTTGAAAAACAGTAACTGCAAGTGATATAAAAGAAATAAAATAATAGAGCTCTGTTAGGGAGGAGTTATGTGTATTAACATTTCTTCCTTATGATCTGAAGAAAGTAAAAGTAAAAATTCCAATGCCTTGACACTTAAATATTAGAAAATGTATTTTTTAACCAAAAGAAATAAAGCAGGCATTCTGCATGAGGCATTGCAAAGGCGTAGCTGACGGTTTGATAAACCATCAGGGTCTACAAGATCACAGTCTCTTTTGTTTTTGCAGGGAAATTAGCAAAGACCTGGCAGCTGGCACTTAGAAGACAGTTTAAAAAGGGAAATCAAGGAAAAGTGTTCTGCTAATGAGATGAAAGGTCGAAGTTTACTCCCTGATCTAGAATCTTTCTTTCTTTGTGATTACTCAGAACTTTTGCAGAATGAGAAGTTTGCCACTCAAAATGGCTTCTGGTCACTTATTCAGAATATAGGTTACCATTGTTCCTTTAATCATTAGTGACCAAAGCTCTTGGCTGGATATCAGACCAAAGGGAAAATCTAGCTATCTTGCCTCGCTGAAGTGCTGGTCATCATTTTTTTTTGTAAGAATCAGATATATCAAGGAATTGTGTGTATGTGTGTGTGTGTGTGTGTATATATATATATATATATATATAAAATAAGATAGTAGTTAATGCAGTTACAAGTGTACTGCAGTCTTGGCAGCATTTGATTTGGGGTGCTGAAACTCTCTGCTGTGTGATCATGAAGTAGTTACTTGTCTTATGGCAAATTTCCTAGGAAACAGATTCTCATGTTTAATATGCATGAGGATTTTTGGATTGTGCTCCCAGGAACAACTTCTGTAAGACAGTGAGCAAATTGCATAGAATAGAAGGAGAGGTTGAACTGGGAAGCCTCTGAAACAGAGGCCTTGGCCGCTGATCCATAGGGAGCTCTGGAAGTGGGAGGCCACTTCAGCACATCTAAGAGGGGCATAGTTGACTGCATGGGTGGGACAATTGAAGATGTACACCCTAGGTGCAGGCAATAGAACTTGGTCCGACACAACAGGCTTTGCAGAATGAGTATTTTATCACTGACATTGATTAGAATTGCTGGTACATGAAGATAAAAAAAGAGCAAACTGACTTTTAGTAAATTTTCGTGTAACCCCTTTACTGCCTGTACCTGGGGTGAACTATTTCAACCATTCTGCCTTTGGTACACCATGGCATAGTTCTTAGATTCACTGGAGGTAGCTCAGCTACTTATACCTAATCATCGTTGCAGGGATGATAAAACCGAGGTACAAAGGAGTTAAATAACTTGCTTAGAATTCACACCTAGTAAGTGGTAGTGCCCGGGTCTGAACACAGTTAACGTGTATTTTCTGTGGCTCAAGCTATAACGTCTCATCCCTTACAGAGTTGTCCTGAGGGTTAAAAGCAATGGCTACATGTAAAGCATCTGATAGTTTATAACAATGTTTCCTATATATTTTGGTATCAGGGCTGGTTTCACTAGTAAAAATTCAGAGCATCATTGAGTTTTTCTTTTTTTTCTTTTTTTTTTTTTAGACAGAGTTTTGCACTGTCACCCAGGCTGGAGTGCAGTGGCGCGATCTCGGCTCATCACAACCTCCACCTCCTGGGTTCAAGCAATTCTCTCGCCTCAGCCTCCCGAGTAGCTGGGATTACAGGCATGCACCACCATGCCCAGCTAATTTTTGTATTTTTAGTAGAGACGGGGTTTCACCAGGTTAGCCAGCTTGGTTTTGAACTTCTGACCTCTAGTGATCCACCTGCCTCGACCTCCCAAAGTGCTGGGATTACAGGCGTGAGCCACCACACCCACCCATCATTGAGCTTTTGTTTTCGATGTTTACTGTATTTGCAATCGAAACTGAAAGTTTACTGGGTGCAGCACACCAACATGGCACGTGTATACATATGTAACTAACCTGCACGTTGTACACATGTACCCTAAAACTTAAAGTATAATAATAAAAAAAAAAACTAATTACATGTTTTCACAAAATAAGTATATTTTCAAAACATAACATTTGGTGGAAACAGTGGCATTGCTTTAAATTATTTCAAGTCTCTTAATATCTATATTGATAGACGAATTCTTTTTTCTGCTTCTGCACTCAATCTGCTATAATGTATTGTTTTGGTTGAAGTAAATGAAGAAATACACATGTATCTCTATGTGTATGTGCATATATACTCATACATGCACCTATAGACATATAGACTGTCCCTTTATTTTATATTTACATACACATAACAACCTTTCCAAAAAATTACTCTGTGTATTCTATGATACACTATTGCTATTACCAAAAAGAGTTTGAAAATTTCCTGCTTGTCTTTTTGTTCACAAGGTCACATAGTAAAGTGAAAACATACCTAAATTAGGATTCAAAAGACTTATGTTTTGGTGCAGCTTCACCATATACTTAGCTATCTGTCCTTTTATAAATAATGTTATTTCTCTCACTCTTTGCTGACTGTTCTAAAATACTGGGATAATAATGTTTGACTCAAAGCTCTTACAGAATTATTGTGAGAATTAAACAGAAATATGTAAAAAGATATTTAAAATTTTATAAATTATGTAAATGCAAGGTATTTTGACAATGTTATTATAATTATAGTTATTATTAGAAATTAAGTCTTCTAAAAATCCAGGCATTATTAATAATATCATCCTGTTTGGAACTCCTAAAAACAAGCAATATAGAACAAGCTTTTCTACCGAGCATTTATATACAGTGTCCTGCTGGCACCTCTGATGGTACATGGCTAAAACTGAATCCAGTATTTTCCCTTCCACATTTTTGCCTCCTTTTGTATTTTTTAGGTTTATTATGTCTCATTTTCTCATCTTTCTAGTAACCAAAGCTAAATGATTTATTTTCATCTTTAAATGAATCCTTCCATTCTTACCATCCATCCAATGGTTTGCCGTTGTCTTAGAATCTCTAGGCTTCTTGTTTGATATAGTCACCTTTTCTTCACATTCTTAACTACAGGTCCTTAAAAGAAGCCCTCAGCATCTCTTTTCTAAGCATTTGTAGTCTCCCAGCTGTCCCCATGCATCCTCATACTGCCCAAGGTTATGTTTCTAAACAGAAGCAGGATTAGGTCACTCTTCCACTTGAAAAAAAAATTAATGTTTTCCCACTGCTTAGAGAATATATCTAAAGTCTGGCAGAAGAAACAATCCAATATCAAATAACTTGTACCTATCATTAAGTCCGCATCTCCTTATATATACTGATCCATACCCAGTCCCAGTGGACTATGTGGCATTCCTGAAATATACAGTTTATTTTTACCACCTTTATCATTTTTCATTCTTTAAATGCCCTTCAAAAATTTTCCAAAGCCATCTCCCAGTGATAAGATATTCAATTGTCAAGGTCATACTCATCTAAACTCAGTTCGAGTACCCATAATCTTAGATCCTTCAGGCAAAATTAATTGCCCCCTACTGTGCTTCCTAGAACAATTTATTTCTACCTTATTTTTCTATTTATAAATACTTTAGACAATCTACTAAATGCAAGCCACATGTTAGATTAGGTATACTTTTTAAATGATAATATATAAAATCTATGTTCAAATGCCTCACCAAATAATACTATTTTGTCTATCTCGTATATTGAATTTAGATTGTGGTAGGAAAGCAATGTGGTAGCAAAGACTGAAGCTCAGCTAAAGAATTTTTTTACTACTATACCTAGCATTATACTTTGCACAGATACCAATGATTCCAAACAAATATTGATTTTATTTGAATTTAGAAAGAGGCAGGCGTTGAGGAATTGCACAAAGACATTGGACCTTTGGTGTTTCCTTTTAGCAAGAAGAAAATAGTCGTATAGATCTATATACCTCCTGACAAGGTTTCCTAACATTCTATTACAATTTCTTTTGCTTTCATTGAAAGAAGATCCAGTATACAATATTCTCTTCTATATTTTATTCTACGACAAAGAAAAAAGTATCACTGAAATGTGGTTATTCAAGCAAGATGATTTTACTTGAGTCTTAATTCTTCCTGTTTTCACTTCATTTACAACTAAAATTTCTAACCTAAGAAACATGCATACAGCTATATATTCAACAACCCATGAATGACAAGATTATGTGTGTATATATAGTATCTATTATAATACTAATATTTTATATATATATATTTATATTTATATGTCCGAAATGTATGAGGTCATGGTTTTCACCACTGGGTATGCTATTTTAAGAATCCATTTCATGTGGCTCTATCTGAAGAAAGTGGTAAGTCAGTGACAAATTATGTTCTGTCTGAGATGTCTTATTTTTCTCACATAATAAAAAAAATCCAGAGGTAGGTAGGAACAGGTATGGTGATTTCATGATGCTATCAGGCATCAGGCAGTTTCTGCTCAGCCACTTGGTGTATGCTTATCATTTTCTAGTAAAAAGAGGCCTATTCTACCCGCAGGTATCATGTCTGTATTTGAATCAAAAAAGTGAGGAAGAGAATAGATTAAAAGGCACATGCTGAGTCAGTCCCTTTTGAAGAACACTCAACAATGCCTTGTCTAAAAGGGAAGCATGGAAATACAATTTTTGGTGGCAACACTGGTGATTTTTACCTGAAAAATTTTTCAGGTAGACAAGGCAAGCTAGAAAGTGATTAGCATCGATACTGTCAACCAAACCAAATCACTGCCAAAGGTAGTCAGAATAACAATCTCTCAAAAAATCTATTTGTTTTGAGAAAATCACTCTATGTTTTCATTTTTATGTAGTCTCTACAATAGTCAAATTCATAGAGCCAAAAAGTAGAATGGTATCTGCCAGGTGGTAGGGGGATAGGAGAATGGAAAGTTGTTTAATGAGATTAGAATTTTAGTTTTGTTAGTTGAAAATAATTCTCAAGATTCATTGCACAACGTTGTGAATGTACTTAATACTACTGAACTGTACACTTAAAAATGGCTAAGATAGTAAATTTTATGTTTATATGTATTTTACCACAGTTAAAAAAAACTGAATTTGTTCTATTTCTCAATGAAAATGACAACATTACCAAAAAAATCAGTTAATTGATACATTTACTTCTTTTATTAGACATAAAAATCCCTTTGGTTTCTGGAAAGAAAGACGCATATTTTTTAAAAAATTAGTAGCTAGATTTTGTGTTACATAATTAAGCCAAATTGATCACATGCCTTCAGATATTTGCTATAATCTCAAACATGGTAATTACATTTTGGATTTATAGCTGTATTTATTTTTTTCTAAGCACTTTTGGCTGAAAGAAATTTTATACTTGATTTGGAAGATATGCAACATAAAGCCACATGTTTTCAACATAAGTGATTATGACTAGCTGTGGTTTATATTTTGATCCCAATGCTATTAGCAATCTACTAAAAGCAGTTTAATGTTATTAAAGTTATTAATCATTCAGCATTTTATGGACATAATCTTAATTGCAGATGTTGTCATTACAAACCTCAGAAAAATAAGAAAAATTTACTCCAAGACTCTAAGCACAGGAAGCGTTTCCTTAGAAGATACAAATGTGTTTTTTCCAGCAAATACTGAAAATTACAAGTGAAAATTAGTATAGTGCACTGAAGAAATAATACTTCTCTACGACAAAGAAAGATCAGTTGATTGATAGCTTAACAAACATTTATTGACTACCTGTTATTTACTCAGTTGTTTATTATGTAGATTTAAGAAAATGAATGAAATGCAATGCTTACCCATGAAGTATATACAGTTTTGTTTGAGAAACTCAACAAAATACAAACTACGAAAGAACTTGACCATATTTATATTCAAATGCTAAATTTGAATCGTAGCATTTTCCAGTTGGAAAAGGGTATAGAGATAAACTAATCTATTCCTATAAATTAACCTAAGTATTTAATGCTGGCTCCTGTAGCAACCAACCACAAAAAGCAGTGCCTGATAAAATACAAATTTATATGGCTTATTACAAAGACTGATGTAGTTGGAGGATGGGTAGTGGGATTTGCTCTATGAAGTTATACAGGGATCTAGATGCTCATTTTTCCTTTAGGGCCACAGAGTATCTTATCAATGACTTTGCTTCTAGATGGTCAAACAATAAGTGCAGAGGATTAGGTCTGCCTGGAAAGGGTGTATTTCACTGTACACTCAATGCATTGACCATTTGTCCAGTTCCATCTGTTTCCTCTGCCTAAAAATCTTTTGCATCCTCTTGTGGCCTGGATAACTTCGTCTCAGGTCAACCTTTCCTTACTCAGGAAATCCTTCCCTGACAACTCTAACTAGGACAAATACCTCTGTTTTAGACACTCATAACAAAGAATACACTTCATTTGTAGCACTGTTCCACATATAATTTTAGAATCTGTAGTATGATTATCTGATTAATGCCCGTATCCCTTACCTTATTCTAAAATATTCTGAATAAGGATATGAATGTTTTAACATTTTCTCCAGAGCCTAACACCACACCTGGTCCAGGGAAGGTGTTCGATAAGTATTTGCTGAGTGAATGAATATGGGCATGCATGCATGAATACACATATGAAGTCAATTGCATTTGTGTACATGTCTATCAAAGAGTAAAATTAAAGTCCTGGAATACTCAGTTTCAGTTTAGTTCCCTTTCATTTTTCCATATGCGTTTATTGAGTTCTGTTTATAGACTCAAATCTATCTTCATGGCCTTATGAACTTCAAGCGTGATGAGTCACTGAACCCATACAGGTATTAATTTACACACTACAAAGTTAAACTGTGTGACTGCATTGAGTGGATGGTTGGTTACATGTCTTGCAACTACCACTATTATAGAAGATAATTATATATATACATATGAATGATAGAAATGATTTAGTACATTTAGTACCTTAAGTAATGGCATTGTGTTAAATCTATCTTTGGTCAGGGCTGAGCTATAGATGCTGAGTTTGGTAAAAAAACAGTAAGTAATTGCAGCCATCAACTTATAAGAGCATGAATTTCTTGGAGGAAATGCGTAAAGAGATGGTAGGAAATGTTGAACAAAAATCATTCTTGGGATCCAAACTTTTATGAGTATGTCTGGTGAATGAGAAACAGTCTGAATGAGAAAAAAACAGATATCGATGAGGGCCTCAATTATCCTATGGAGTGCATTAATCACAAGAAAAGAGTCTAACCCAAAACAAGTCTCAATCAGCACAAGGCAGGAGAGAGTAGCAATAATAGATATAGGTTACAACCACTACTTTTATTAACAGTTTTATTGAGGTATAACCGACATGGAATAAAGCCTTCATTATTAAAGTACAAAATTTGGTTAATTTTGAATTATATATATACCCATTAAACCATTATAATAATAAACACAAATATCAAAATAATAAACACATATATCACACTGCAAAGCTTCCTCATGCCCCTTTGTTATTTCTCCCTTTCACAAACCCAAGTGAGCATAAGCAACAGGTAACCATGGTCTTCTTTCTATCACTATACACTGGTTTGCATTTTCTAGGCTTTTATATAAGCAGAATCATATAGTCCACACTCTTTCCCTTTTTTTTGGTGGGGAGGGAGGATATGTCTTCTTAATTGACAATAATTATTTTAAGATCCATCCATGATGTTGCATTAATTGATAACTTGTTCCTTTTTAGTTTTTGAATAGTATTTCATGGTATGAATATATCAAAATATGTGTATGTATTTACTTGTTGAGGGACATTGGAGTTGATTTCTATTTTTTTTTCTATTAAAATAAAGCTGCTGTGGACATTCGTTTACAGATCTTTGTATCTTAGAGTAGAATGTGTGGATCATATAGTAAGTGGATATTTAACTTTTAAGAAAAGCCCAAATTGATTTCCAAAGCACTCACACCATTTTGCATGTATGTGAGAGTTACATTCTTCTTAACACTGGGTATAGTCAGTCTTTAATTTTAGCCATTTTAGAAGAAATGTAGTGACATCTCATAGTTTTAATATGCACTTCTCTAATGACTAATGATGTTAGCATCTTTTTCTATCAGTGTGCCTACTAGTCAACAGTGCAACTTGTTTGATGAAGTGTTTGTTTAAATCTTTTGCCCAATTTTAAAATATTGTGTTTGTATTATTGATTCTTGAGAACATTTAAAATATGTTCTAGATACATAGTCTTTATGAGATACATGACTTGCAAATATTTTCTCTCAGTTTTTTTAAAAACTTTCTTCTTTGTTTTTCTTTTACTATTATTATTATTATACTTTAAGTTTTAGGGTACATGTGCACAATGTGCAGGTTAGTTACATATGTATACATTTGCCATGCTGGTGTGCTGCACCCATTAACTCGTCATTTAGCATTAGGTATATCTCCTAATGCTATCCCTCCCCCCTCCCCCCACCCCACAATAGTCCCCAGAGTGTGATGTTCCCCTTCCTGTTCTTTTTAAGATCAGAAGTTTTCAATTTTGATGAAGTCCAGTCTATGAATTTTCTCTTTTGTGAACTGCGCTTTTGGTATTTTATCTAGTAAATTTTTGCCTAACATGAGGTCATAAAGGTTACCTGCATAAGTCTAACAGTTTTAGATTTTATAGTTTTAGATTTTTGACAGTTATATATAGTTTTAGATTTTACATTAAGGTTTATGATCCATTTTGAGTTAATTTTTGTATATGATGAACCTATGGATTGTAATTCTAATGTTCATATGGATATACTAAAGACTTAGAATACCTAAACAACTTTGAGAAATTTTGAAATCAGGTACTGTTGGTCCTCTAACTCTGTTCTTTTCCAAAGCTGATTTACATAGTTTAGATCTTTTGCCTATCAATATGTATTTTAGAATCAGTATGCCATTTTTTTACAAAAAAGAATGTTGGGATTTTAATTGGCTATTTTATCCTCTTTGGTAATCTCTGCATTTTAAAGTGTGTTTAGACCATTTATGTCTAATCTGATTATTAATATGGTTAGGTTGAAATGTGCCAGTTATTTGTTTTATATTAGCCCTCTCTGTTTTTTGTTCTCTTGTTCATCTCTCTGCCTTATTTTCCTCAACTGAGTGTGTTTTACTTTTTAAATCTCCTTTGTGGGCTTATTTCTTATCTGTGTGTTTTGTTATTTTATGGTGGCTTTAGGATTTATAATATAAATACGTAACTTACAATAGTTTACCTTCGAGTATTATTATACCATTCCATGTATTCTGTAAGAACCTTGCAACAGTATATATTCATTCATTTCATACTACACTGTTACTCTTTTGCATTAAAATCGAATTATATTTAAACTATCTTTAAATAATAAGAAAGAGGGTTTAATTACCATTTTCAGCATTCTTCATATCTTGGTATACATTCACAATTGTACCTTGTATCATTCTCTTCCTCCTGAAGAGTTTCTTTTGACATTTCTGGTAATGTCAGTCTGCTGGTGATAAATTTTTTCAGACTTAAATGTCTTTAAAAGTCTTAATTTTATCTTCATTTTTGAAAGATCTTTTACTGGATATGTGTCTAGGTAGACACTTGTATTTTCTTTACTTTAGAAGTAAAGATGATGAGTGGTGCCACTTCTACTTCCACCCCTTGATTCTTGGACTCATGAATTTGGCTATGGGAGAAACAGTACCATATATTGGCTGCTGATTCATAGCATATGGAGCCTTCTGGAGAACTTTGCCCCAGCCTACAAAATATTATAAACTAGTTGGCTTTGTAACTGTAACTTCAAAAGGCCATTTCACTTGTCTGTAAAGCCAGCTGCTTCATAATGATGGGGAACATAGTTAGACCAGTGAAAATACCATGAGCATGAGCCCATTGCTGTAATTTTTTGGCTCTGAAGTGAGTTTCTTGGTCAGAAGTAATGCTATGTGGAATACCATGGTGGAAGATAAGGCATTTTTTTGAGTCCATAGATGGTAGTCTTGGTAGAAACATTGCATGCTTGGTAGAAACATTGCATGCTAGGAAAGGCAAATCCAAATCTGGAGTAAGTAAGTGTCTATTCCGGTAAGGCCAAACCACTGTCCCTTCCGTGATGAAAGTGGTCCAATGTAATCAAGCAGACACTATGTAGCTGGCTGATTAATCCAGAAATGGTTCACATTGAGAACTCAGTGTTGGTCTCTGCTGCTGGCAGATTGGACACTCAACCGTAGTCATAATCAGGTCAGCTTTGCTGAATGGAAGTCCATGTTGCCGAGCCCATGCATAACCTCCATCCCTGCCACCATGTCTACTTTGTTCATAAGCTCATTGGGTGATGACAGGGTGGCTGGGGAAGGAGGCTGAATGGTGTCCACAGAACAGGTCATCCTATACACTTAATTATTAAAATTCTCCTCTGCTGAGGTCACTCTTTAGTGAACATTCACGTGGGACACAAATATCTTCACATTTTTTGACCACTCGGAGAGGTGCATCTACATAACTCTTCCCCAAATTTCTTTGTCAGCAAGTTTCCACCCATGCTCCTTCCAAATCCCTGATCAAACATTGGCTACAGTGTGTGAATCAGTACATAATTGCATGTCTGGCCATTTTTCCTTCCAAGAAAAATGCACAACCAGGCGCACTTCTTGAAATTCTGGCCACTGGCAAGATTTTCCTTCACCAGTGTCCTTCAAGGATGTCCCAGAAAGGGGCTATAATGCTGCAGCTGTCTACTTTCTGGTAGCGCCTACATAACGTGCAGAACAATCTGTAAACCAAGCCCTAGTCTTTTCTTCCTCTGTCATAGGGAGGTCCCAGTGAGGTGATAAGTACAGCCTGGGAGAGAGAAATCAGCATAGCAGGAGTGGGGGCCGTGGGCATTTGGGCCACCTCCTCATGTAACTTACTCATACCTTCAGGACATGCTCAAGCCCAATCACGTATATACCACTTCCATTTGATGATGGAGTGCTGCTGTGGATGTCCAACTTTATGGCTATATGAGTCAGAAAGCACCCAGTTCATGATAGGCAGTTCAGGTCTCATGGTAACTTGGTGACTCATAGTCCAACATTCAGTTTCTACCAAGGCCCAGTAACAGGCCAAAAGATGTCTACCAATAGGAGAGTGGTTATAAGTAGAAGATGGTAGGGCCTTTCTCCAAAATCGTAAAGGTCTCCACTGTGATTCATCTGTGTGGGCCAGCCAAAGGCTCCAAACAATAACCCTATCTGCCACTGACATTTCAAGCACCATTGGCTCTGCTGAGTCATATGACTCAAGTGGCAGAGCAGCTTGCACATACAGTAGCCTGCAACTGTTGTAGAGCCTTCTGTCCTGGGCCTCAGTCCAGGTACCAATTTTCTGTGTTAGGCTGTTCTTGTGTTGCACTAAAGAAATACCCAAGACTGGGTAATTTATAAAGAAAAAAGGTTCAATTGGCTCAAGGTTCTGCAGGCTGTACAGGAAGCATGGCACTAGAATCTGCTCAGCTTCCTAGGAAGCCTCAGCGAGCTATTACTCATGGTGCAAGGTGAAGCAGAAGCAGACATGTCACCTGGTGAAAGCAGGAGCAAGAGAGAGTGCTGGGGAGATGCCACACACTTTTAAACAACCAGATCTTGTGAGAACTCACTAACTATCATGAGGACAGCACCAAGCCATGAGGGATTACCCCAAGACCCAAACACCTCCCACCAGGCCCCACCTCCAACACTGGGAATTACCTTTCAAAATGAGATATGGGGGACAAATATCCAAGCCATACCACTGTTCACACTTTCTAACCTTCTGACGTGCTCCTGAGGCTCATAATCACAGATAACTGCAGCTGATCCTTGAACAACTTGGATTTGAACTTCAGAGGGCCCACTTACATGCAGATTCTTTTCAATGAATATATTAGAAACTTTTTTGGAGATTCATGGCAATCTGAAAAAAAAAAACTCACAGATAAACCACCACCCCTGAGACAGCAACACCAACCCCTTGTCTTCCTCCTTCTCTTCATTCTACTCAACTCAAGGATGATGAGGATGAAGACTTTAGGATGATTCACTTCCACTTAATAAAGAGCAAGTATATTTTCTCTTCCTTATATATTCTTAACATTTTTATTTCTCTAGCTTACTTTATTGTAAGAATACAGTATATAGTACACATACAAAATACGTGTTAATCCACAGTTTGTTATTGGTAAGGCTTCCAGTCAATAGCAGGATAGTCATATTTAAGTTTTTTGGGAGTCACATTTTATACACAGATTTTTGACTGTGTAGGGAGTCAATGCACCTAAACACCTCTGTTGTCCAAGGGTCAACTTTGTTTGCATGCAAACCTTTTTCTTATTCTCTGTTTTCAACTAAAACAATACTAAGAAAATAATGGTGCTAAAATGGGAACAATGATCAGAAATTTGCAGAAATGCAATTCAGAACAATCTGTTCTTTTTTTTTTCATTTATACAACAAACAATTTACTATCTTCTTCCTCATATGTGCCATGCAGTGTGCTGAGCAAATCATCTATGGCCTCTGCCCTCATGGACTTACAGAGTGGAAGGAGCTAGACATTGATTTTAGTCAGTAAGACATAAAGCAATTGCAAACTGAACAGTCTGTGAAAGAAAAGTAAAGGATCCCACAAGAGCATACAACAGGCAGACCTGGCCTGGAAGGACAGGCAACCTTTCTCGGATAGGTGAAAATGTCACTGAGTTATGAAGGATGAACAAAAGTTACCAAGGTGGAGTGTTGGCAGAGAATTGGAGGCTGCCCAATTTAGAGAAATCCATGTGCAAAGTCCATCAAGAAGAAGAGGATATGGCACACTTAAGGAACATATTTTTTAACAAAAACCAAAAGAGGTAAATGATAGTTTGAAGATAAAAAAGGATAAGTATAGGCTGGGCGCGGTGGCTCACGGCTGTAACCCTAGCACTTTGGGAGGCCAAGGTGGGTGGTTCATGAGGTCAGGAGATTGAGACCATCCTAGCTAACATGGTGAAACCCCATCTCTACTAAAAATACAAAAAAAAAAAAAAAATTAGCCAGGCTTGGTGGCGGGCGCCTGTAGTCCTAGTTACTCAGGAGGCTGAGGCAGGAGAACGGCGTGAACCCAGGAGGTGGAGCTTGCAATGAGCCGAGATCGCACCACTGCACTCCAGCCTGGGCAAGAGAGTGAGACTCTGTCTCAAAAAAAAAAAAAAAAAAAAAAAGATGATAAGTATAGATAGTAGACTTCTATTAGAATGAGTAACCACACTCTCTCACATATAATAATGAAGTTGGCTAGGTGGAAACAAATTTATTAGACAAGGATCTAGGCAGCTAATGAAAAAGTAGTGAATTTAATTAGGAAAAGTGATTTTTAAACTATTCTGTTTCATCCTAAAAGGACCTTTCTAAAATACCTATTTTGAAACAATATTTATTATAATGATTTTTATTATTTATAATCATCAATTTGTAGAATACTTAATATAAATCTTTATTCTTAATTTTTATGGTCACTCTTATTATTCCAATTTTTTAGATGTAGAAAATGAGACCTAGAGAGGTTGCACAAATACTTTAGATAAATTGCCTAAGTTCCCAAATTAATATGTAAATTTGAACCCAAGTCTGACTGACATTAAATATATTCCTCATATGTAAATCAGAGTCTAATAAGGAAATCAACTGGTCAACAGGTAACCATAATACAGAAGGATATAGCATGATTGTGAGGCACGTGCAAAGCAGTAGCCCTAAGTAGTGGTGGCAAGCAGAGGGACTCCCATGAAAGCACCTGAACCAGCTGTGGTGGTTTATGACCCCATCCTTGGATGCTCAACATTCTCTTGAGACAAGACATGAAACCAAGTACTTTCTCATTTTGGCTTTTTGGCTGAGTTCTTCAGAATCTTCCAAATATGCTCATCCAGTTCTGGCTCAGTGATGCCCACAGATTCCCTGGCTTGCCTTTTTGTCTGTTTTAGCTCTTGGCCCCTCCAAGCCCTCAGACAGAGAGTCTATCACCAATACAGCAGGGAAATTCAAGCAGATGAGTAATGGACACTGATGCTCTCCATTCACTGACAAGAGCTTATTTCCCTGTTTTCTGTGATCAGGTAAATGGAAAAGTGGTGCTCTGTGTTCTGCTCCTGTGAGTCACTGGTGAATGGCCAAGGTTTGCTTTGCTGAGCTATTGGTCAGGTCCCACTGAACAGCTACTTGGATTGAGAGGGAAAGCAGCATCTGTGGGAAAGAAACCCTGGGATCTTCTTTGTGTCTCACATCTTTCTATGCAATTCCCAAAGACCATGAAATGGCCACTGTAAATGAATCAAGCAGGAATGACCGTATTCTTTGCAATTCCAGCAGATAAACTTCATGTTCCATTCCACACTCTGAGGCTGGTTAAGTATCCTGAAGTCTTAGCCCTGAGGCCCTGGTCATAGTCTCCTCTGCGTCCTTATTACTTTACCTCCTCATCACTGTTTTGCCTTTATCAAGGACTTTGACCCATACTTCAGTGTCTTCCTCCAAGCCCCACCTTCAGCATGGTGAGATCAGCCAAACAGTCATCCAGTATCCTAGAGATCAGGGACCCAGTGGTCTAGAAAGTTCAGAATTCTTTCCATCATATGGGAATGAGTGAGTATGGCATCACAGGTGAAGAGTCTACAACTTGTATAAGATGGTCAAAGTGTTACAAGATGTCTACCTTTCCTAAAAATGAATCACTTGCGACTCTAGGCCCTCAGTCCCAATGTCCTTCCCTTTCTTCAGTGACATTCGCCTCTACTTGACCTTCATCATGGACTTTTGTGTCATCATCCCCATCTGCTCCACCCCTGAAATGATTGTGTCTGAATTCCTCGAAGATAAACTTTAGTGCAAATTTCTTTTTTTCTAAATGTTTTATTGTAGCATAACATTTAACATGAGATCTATCCTCTAAACACATTTTTAAATGTACTATAAAATATTGTTAGCTATAGGTACAATATTGTAGAGCAGATCTCTGGAACTTAGTTATATTCCATATTTGAAAGTTTATGCCCACTGATTGGCAATTTCCCACTTTCTCTTCCCCCACAGCCAGTCTCTGACAATCACCAGTCTACTCGCTGGTTCTATGAGTTTGGCTATTTTAGAAACATCACATAAAGTGGAATCAGGTAGTATTTATCTTTTTGTGAGTGGTTTATTTTGCTTAGTATAATGTTCTCCAGGTTCATTCACGTTGTTGCATATTGCAGGATTTCCTTCTTTTCCGAGCCAGAAAAATGTTCCATTGTATGTATATATGACATTTTCCTTAACGATTTATATGTCGATGGACATTTATGTTGTTCCTACATCTGGGCTATTCTGAATAGTGGTTCAGTGAATATAACAGTGCTAATCTCTTCAAGATCTTCATTTCAATTATTTTGGATCAATACCCAGAAGTAGGAATCCTGGGTAATATGGTAAAGGTCTGACTGACTTTAAATCCATGCTCCTTTCTCTGTAGAAAACAGAAATACTGAAAAGGAGTCAGAGGAAATTGTATAAGAAATGTACAGTCTTAAGAAGTACAAATGGCTTCTGTATCCCCAAGATTGTGTGGATAAGGCTAAGTTGGAAAGAGTGGTTAATTTACAGAATTACAATTCAACCCAATCCATAGATTGATTGGGTTGAATTCAATCCAATCCATGGATCTTATTAATATATGGAATTATATTATTATATGGAATATATCTTATTAATATATAGAATCTTATTAAATGTTGGACACTGTTCAGGGGTAAGGCACATAGTTCATTCATTCTACAAATATTTATTGAGCAGATAAATATGACAGGTGCATATTAATACTATGCCTGGCAGTTTCAGCAGTGGAACAAATGACAAGATCTTTGCTGTCACAGAGTTTTCATGGATGTATATGTGGTAACAGTAAGTAAGTCAATAGGAAGCATCAGGTAATGATAAGTCCCATGAAGACTGTAAAACATGTTGATATGTAGAAAGTAACAGGGGGCACTTTAAATTGGGTGTTAAGGGAAAGTCTATATTAAAAGTGACATTTAAGCTGAGACACAAATGACAGGAAGGAACTAGACTTTATGTAAATGCCAATAATAATAATAGTAAGAACAATCATAAAAATAGTGACAGCTATCATTTATCACATTGTTAATATGTGCTGGTTGCTGTTCCAAGTATATTATACATAGTCATCCAATTACCCTCCCCAAAGCCCCAGTAATCCTATGAAGTAGGAATTATTTACAGAAAAATTTGAAGCTTAAGTAGATTCAATAAACTGCCAAGTTGTGGTAAAAAGTGAGTAGCTGAGCCAGGATACAAACCCAGATTCCCTGCATCAATAACACATGCTCTTGTCTACCACACTCTTTTGCCTCTTAAGGCCAAATGGAAGAGAACCCCAGTGCAGAAGCCCTAAAGCAAGAATGTGCATAGTGTGATTGAGAAAAAAAAGGCAATTATACGAATTACCATGAACAATTTGGCAGAGCGGTAATGGGATGAGGTGAAAGAAGTAGGCATGGATCTACCAATCATATAGGGCCTTGTCAGCTACCGTAAGGCATATGGCTTTTATATTGAATGAGACCAAAGACATGGGGTGAGGTGGGGTTGAACGGAATGGGGAACTGTTTTAGAACTTATGTTTATGTGTATTTTAGTGGCAAGTGAAAATGGGTTGAAAAACCTGAGGAATTACAATGCCTTTCAGTGTTTTGAACAGACTGGCCACCTAATATCAACCAACCTTGGAAATAAAAGAGAAAAACAGACTTTCAATGGAATATGGAAAATGGATATTCCTCTTTCTTTGGATAAGCAGTATAAATCCCATGACTTACTTGACTTAATTGGAAATCATGGCAGAGTATATGCCATTTTAGTTCCCAGAACTATTTTAGAATCACAACCCTATTTCCATGAGTGCATTCATGATTGACTCTAGAGAAAGCTGACTCTGGAGAAAGCTTCATCTATCTCTTTGCCTTTTATCTCTTAACCCTTAACAACTTTCAAAACACTTAGGAGTCCCTAAAATGATGAGCCTTTTTCTAACATTTACATTGTTTCAGATTTTTTTTAATACAACACATCTTTTCCAAGTACCAACCCCTGAGGTCACTTTACCCAACGTTTCCTATAGCTAATATTGATCGTATTAATCCCTATGTATGAATAAACTAGTTAATAATATACATTTTGTTGTTGTTGTTTTGAGACAGGATTGCCCTTTGTTGACCAGGCTACTCTTGAACTTCTAGGTTCAAGCAATCCTCATTCGTCAGCTTCCCAAGCAGCTGGGATTATAGGTGTGTACCACCATGTGCAGATCAATAGTAACCACAGATTTTAAACTTTGTATTATGAGATGTATTTTCTGATTACAACGTCTTATCCTAAAAAGGAAATATAATAATAAGAGTTCTCAGACTTTTGCAGAAATATGTCGAGGTTAACAACTGGCCCTCAACTGTCATACATTTTTCTTCCACAACAAAATATTTTTGAAGTCCTATTTGTAACTTATATTTTATCATTCTCACCTTAACTTTCATATTCTCCTATGATTTTTTGACAATATAATATAAAATGTACATATAAAAGTCCTAAATCTCATGACAACAAGAGTTAATGTTGAACCCAGAACATTTCCAGAAGAAATCACAGGCGTTGTGCAGCCCTGGGGTGCTACCAGGGAATCCCATCCATAGAATTTCCCGACAGATCATTGAAATCCAACAATAAATCTGTGCAAAGACTAAAACTAATAGAAGAAAACTTCAAAAAGCCTTTCTGATATTCTATAATGTACAGGCACATTAGAAACATTCATCTATGTCTTTCATAAGTTTTGTAAAGGCAAATGCATGGTTTAGAAGGATACTAGCTAAGAATCCGGACTGTGGGGTTTTTATTATGAGACTTTGGACAAATAATTCTTCCCGGATTTCAACATTTACTCATGTGTAAAGTCAAAAATATAATACATAAATGTTCAGCAAAGGTCAGTTTAATTGAAGTGTTTGAAATAATCTTAAAAATCACTTTTAGATCAAAACATTTCTGTTTAAAAATCACTAGTGATATTGCAGCATGACCAAAAGCTGGGACGCTTAACTTCTTGAATCATTCTGCTTGGCTGGAAATAGGTTGAGATGAATCTGATTTGTGTTTGACTTAATAAAACTCCATTTCACTTAGAATGTCTTTAAAATTAATACTCTAGATCCCCTTGTATACTTTAGAACTGAAGTTAATTGAAGAGAAAGGGATGGTGTTAGAAACTTCCTGAACTCCCTACTGACCTTTAAGGCTTGATGAGCATTAGGAGAGAAACATCCAGATTTCTTTGTATTAACGTATGATCTGTGCACTGCAGTTTTCAGACAATAGGCTAATTGTACATTCAGCTTAGCACTTCTAGATGCAATTGCCTCTACGGACTCAGTCAGTTGAAGGTGAAGTTAGCTGATGCAAACAATCACAGGTGTGAAAATTAATAATTATAATAATAGTAAAACCAGCATGGGAGGAGCCTTTTATTAAATTCAGTGATAGCAGACCTCTTCTTGTCTATTAAAACCAAATATGACTCCAAAAGGAATGATTAATCAATGCTTACAATTTCATTAATGTTAACTGTTTATTTTTCCAGTGCCAGTGCAGATGTGCTAACGGATAATTGCTTTGTAAATTTCATTATGGAAGGGTTTATAAAATGTTGGATAATTCTGTGTAATTCTCACAATTGAGATCCTCCCACCCAATGAGGTGACAAAGACTTTCACTGCCACAAGATAGATAGCTATTAACTACTCCAGATGACACCTCTGTTATATGATGCCTCCTGGGTCTCAGAAAAGAGCAGTCTAAAATATTTAGCAGATATTATACTGAAGAGTTTGTACTTTATAGTACCTGGAACAGTTGTACAGGGTATATAGGCTAAAATTACACCTTGGAAACATACAAATTACAAGCCAAAAACCTCTAACAAAGCTTTTTTTTTTTGAAGTTTAACTCAGGCATATTATAGGCTACTATATTAAATCACCTTATAATAATTTTTAAAAATTATTATAATATTATGTAAGTGCACACAGTGCAATTTATTAGCACAGAAAAGGTTAGTCTACAGTATGTCTTCCTGAACACATAAACGGCTATATTAATTAGAATATTGTGAGGCTATATAAAATGGTAGGCATAATCTCACAAAAGTACGGAGAAAGTTCAGATGCTATGTAGTATGCTTGTGACCAAATACATTCTATTTATCTTAACAAAACTGAGTTGTATTTTTCAGTTGTAGTATCTAAGGCTCAGATATAACATAAATAAAAATCACTCAGGATCTTTCCTAATAATTCAAAGTCTTAGGTCTAACTTCCTAAAACTCTGATTTGGGATCTTTGTGTTGTGACTCAGGAATAATTTTCAAAGATCAGTAAGCTATTATATTGCAGGTAGCCTAGTAATACACACTTAATAAATACTGCCTTAAGATTTCAATAAAAATAATAGCTGCTATATATGAAGCATATATTCCAGGCACTGATTAAGGGCTTCATATATTATAATTTATGCTAATACCCAATTGCACAGTATTATTTTCTCCTTTTTATCCAAGAAAACCAATGTTCAAACTTAACAAAGGACTAAACCTCCATGACTTCAATGTTGATTTTCTATTACCTAATTTAAAGAAAAGTTGCCTTCATCAATATTTGTTATACTATCCCAATCCATTATCACTGTACCACTTGAGTAATCTCTATCAAAGTCGTATAGCATCATTTTACATTACATTTCACAAGTCATGACCCCTATAAATACCTAAAAATCCCTGCATCTTTCTAAGTGAAAAAGTAACCCTTAAATCGAGTCTCAGTGATTCACATGAAAAGTAGAATTAAAGAGTAGTGCTTACTTACTAGTGATTTTTTATACTTATAATTATTCTTACAATTATTTTTAAATAATAATTTTCTCAGACTTGTGCAGAAACTCAAAATAGTGCTGAATTTTACTAAACTGAAACCTTTTAGTCTTACTAACTTCTCCTTTGATTCAATTAATAAGTAGCAATTAGAAAACTGGAAAAAAGGAATCAACCATGAGAGTAAAAACAGAAAAAACGGTAGAGAAACTATGATAAAAGTCTAATTTAGTAAATGTTAACTGTTGCCAAGATGCAGAAGTTTACTATTTTTCTAACAAATATAGTAGTTCAGTTATTGAATGTTGAAGAGAACTGGGAAGTAGAATCAGCACCAGCTTTTCTTGGGCAATTTAAATAAAGTCAGCCTGAAGGGAGGAGGATAGACTGAACACACATTTGATGCCTTGCATGCGCATATGCAGTTTCCCATGTTTGTTCTACCCTCTTGCCACTGAGCTAAGCTATGCTATGAGATTTTGAGTCTGAAAATGATCTTGTGTGTTAAAGCGGATGACTAAATGGACTTGAACTGCAAGTTCTGCCCAAACTAGATCCCCCTAGGCGTTCTCCAAATCAAAATTTTAGGATTCTAGGTAGAATCTGTTGTGAATAATATATAACATAGACAATTAATTGAGAAGTTATGGGGTGGTCTGACATTTTTCCAAAATGAATTGTTCATTTGGTCTAAATTAGCATCATCAAGACAGTATTATCAGTTGTGGGTACAGTGCCATTTTAGAATTGCATATTTTAGAGAAAAATTAATGTTAAATATAGATTTTTCAGGTAATATTAAAGATAAATTAAATATGTATAGTTTAGTGCCAAGTGAATTATGTTGAAAGGATTTATGAAACAAAGAGCTTTTAAAAGATACCAAAATTTAAAAAAAAAACAAAAGTACAAATATCTTTTTGGTTCATAGCTTTTCACTTAGGTCTCATTTATTTTATTTTGTTTACTGTTTACTCAATGAATATTTAGTGGGTATTTATTATATGCATTATATTAGGCACTAGAGGATTTAAACATAAAATGTTCAATTATACTACTAAAGGCTATGTTAGAGGTACGCACAAATTGCCAGTAGATTATATAGAGAAGTGATGTATAACTTAACCTAGTGAGATCACATAAGGCTTCCTGAAAAACATAATGTGAGTTTGCGAGGGAGAGCAGGAGTTAAGCAAAAGAAGACCAGAGAGAGGAAGGTGTTATACGCTAGAAACAATGTTTTGGAAGCCCTGAGGGGAAAAGAGGCTTGGAGTATTTGAGAATCTGAAAGTAATTAGCCATGGCCTGAGAATAATTGGCGAAGAGATTGGTAAGGATGAGATTGGAGAATTAGGCAGGGGCTAGAAGATTAAGAGCCTTGTAGACCACTCAGAAGACTAGCCATCTTCAACTACAAGTAATTCAGGGGGCATAACCTACAAAATGTGAAATTGATGTAGTACCCAGCACAAGGGACTAAACATTTAATTAAAGCTTTTTAATGCTAATGATTGTTCTGAATTAGCATTACTAAGCAATATTCATGAAGACTTCAAAGGAAGCAAGCCACCTTCCCTAGCAGCATGTTTTGCCCTTTTTGTTCCATTTCTTTTTGCCTTAACCAAACCTAAGTTTCCTTGATTCTTCCATCCCTTAAGTGACTTTAAAAATTCACTTTATAAATAATTGAGGAAAATGGACTGGAACAATTCTAACAACTATTGTTTAGTGAAATGTTAATTTACTTTACTAAAGGTAATGTTTCATAAGGGAGATTTCAGTACCAAATATAGACATCAAACCTAGAAATATGCAGTTAATAAGCTGTGTTAGGAATATGCATAACAGTAATAATTGAAAGGGTTCCTTAATTCAACATGCAGCTGGTCTTGAGGCTGAGCTAGTCAGTCATTTCTCACTGATGGAAATAGACTTGAGCCAGAATGAACAAGATTTCCTGTACCTTAAAATGATGGCATCGCTATAACTTCTAATGAAATATTATTGCCATAAATGTTTTAAAATTTTCTTTTCTGCAAGCTATTGGTAAATTATTCTTTAAATGACTGTGGCCTTTATATGAAGCTGTATTTTTATAAGCAATGATGACTTTTGTGAGGCAATAAAATGCAGTAAGTGGGCTTGGGTTTATGATTTTGTCTTAAAATTTTATATAATGCTGTTGGTTAATGTTTATTTTTCTTTCTAGATATATCTATGCCCATTAAATTACTACTAATGTCTGTTCCCTCTGGTGTATTACTATGCCCATATGACCCTAGAATTTAAAGAGAAAAATCTTTATGTATTGAAAACATACTTAAGCATATTAAGCTGGAACGTCCTATAATTTATTTTCCCCTTTTGCCTTCTCATCTTTCTTTCAAACTTTAAAAAGCATAAGCATACTTTTCTTCTGAAACAATCTCTTCAGGAATGCCATAGATACTGGTCAAAGATTTGTATTTGCAAACTAAATTCAGCAAAGGTAATACCTTATTTTCCAAAGGGATGGAATCTCCTATCCTAATGAAATGTTGTGGTGCATAAGGATCCTCCCTTCTGCTCTGATGGCTGTATACACAGAACAAAAGTCCACTCTATACTATTGGTTTTTTTACGTTTCTTTTAGTTTATTTATATTTATTTTATAGTTATAGAGTCACTTTGCTTCCTTGTAAGTTTGGTAAAAATTGCCCTCCAATAAAGTTTGTAATACAGACATAAGGAAGTGTTTAATGTGTATATCCCTTGTCAGAAAAAGAGGCTCCCAAGACTCTGTGTGCTTTGATCTTTGCTCATCAGGGTCTGCAGATGAGTGTTTCGGCCACCCTGACCTTTGCTTGGGAACTCAAACACTCTGCCCATCTTATTCCTGCCACCAGACCCTTTGACTTGCTTTTTCCTTCTCCTTACTTCTTCCCTGTTCAACAGAAACTCACCCTTCAGATTTTAGCTTAAAGTCACTTCCTCAGTTTACCCTGCTCCCTTAGATAAAATGTCCCCCTGTTTTACATTCTGCTGATTATACACCTCCTTTAAAGCATGTACCGCAATTTATAATCACAAAGCTATATTCATTTTTCACTAATAGCAATATTTGTAATTACAAGTGGCAGAAATCTAATTAAAATGAAATTATACAGTGTGAGTATTGCACAATATCTATGCATATTCCAAAATCTAAAGAGACAATGTAGAAACCAGGTCACCTCCTGGGGCTTTGAGTTCTGGAAGCAAGGATAAACCTAGTAGGATTTCATTTCTCTCTTTACCATTTGTAGTTCATTTATGCCTGCCTCTGCTTGGCTTTATTTTCTCTTAATCAAAGCAAATGAACTTTCTTTATCTGGTGAGCATCATGAGGGCTAGAAGATTCTATGCTCTTTCCCAGTCCACATAGAAAAGTTCAGAGGAAGGATTCTTTTGGGTCGGTTAGAATCACATGCCAGAACTTGTACCAATCACTGAAGCTAGAGAAATGGAGTACTGTGCTGTAATTGACCCAGTCTGAGAGACACGGCCACTCACCTAGGGGGCAGAGCCTATTACTAGAAAAAGGTACATGTGTGTGACAAGGACACAATCTAGAGGTATGCTGTACCGACAAAATAATGGTTACCTTTGTGTAATTATTTGTCTAATAGCCATATGTGCTACTGGATAGTAAGTTTTACAACAAGAATGAAACTATACAGAATGTATCTATTTTCCTATTTAGTTTTATTACCTATCATACCACCTGAAGCATCAAAAAAAATCCAATAATTGTTTACTGATTGAATGAATGGATGTATAAAAAGAAAACTGTTTTGGTGAGTAAGACGAAAGAGGTCAAATGGGGAGGCAGTAAATCTTGTCAGATAGTGAGAATTTTCTTGTATAATGTCAAAAGGTAGCAAAAGGTAGGGATATAATACCAGCATTCTGTGTGTTTGTGTGTGTGTGTGTGACTGTGTGTGTGTGCACACGTGCATGTAGGGGCTCATTTTTGTGTTCACTCCCTTAAAAATGTGAAGTCTTACTTCAAGCTATCAGGCAATGAGACTTAGGGAGAAGAACATTAGCTGAACAGATGTTATACTTCCAACAAGCTTGTCCTGCTGAGATCAAACGAGTTATATATCCCTGCATTAAACCCTATAAGCCTAGTTGAGGAGATGTTAAGATAATTCTAACCCTAAATATTCTCCATCTCTTTAGGGATGACAACCTCACATTTCTCATTTAGAATAGCCACAGGCACTTCCCTCTTGCAGAAAATGACCTTCACTCTAAGTTTGCACCAAGTGTGGATAACACTGACCCAGCCAGTATAAGCATGAGAATCAAGATCCTCCTGAGGATTCTCGACTGCCTGCCAGCAAGTCATTATCTCTGGATTGGTTTGAATGCATTCCTGGTAGTCTAATTTTGTGAAAGTTTTAATTCCCATATTACCATGTGAGGTTGTTCATGAGTCTTAATCACTTTTTAAGTTTAACCCTCAGGTCATTGTTGAATTTAACAATAGTATTCAAGATGCAACTGGGTAAAAAGAAAGGGCAAAGAGACAGCCAGGAAAGAAGAGATAGAGTCTGCCAAAAATAGGAGGAATAACTTGACACTTTGCATCTACAAAGAAAAAAAGGAAAGAAATAGATGTGGAGGGCAGAGAAGAGGTGGAATTGAGAAATGAACTGTTATTGAGCACCTACCATCTTCCAGGGTCTGCTAGATATTTTGTATATGGTGACTTGTCTAATCATCTTTTCAAACCAGTGAAGCACCTCTTACCTCAGAATGGCAGATAAGAAAATGGAATCTCTGAGATGCTAAATAAGTTGCCCTAGATCACACTGAGTCCCATTTTTTTTTGTTTTGGTTGCTTCTTACAAAACAAGATGAAGAAAAAGTAGATATAAATGGATAAAAGAAACTGAAGGATAGTTAAGAAGGCACCAAAGAGCTGTACAGATAGAAATGTTTCCAAGTTAAACACATTTAATTTGGATCCTCTAGTTCCACCATGAAGCACCCAAAAGTGCACAATTTTGTGAAAATAATTTAACTCAAAAGAGGCAATTTAATAGAAAGGATTTGGTTACTTGAAACAGTTATGATATATGAAAGAGCTTAACTCACCATTTATACTTGAGACTTTTTTCTCCCTGGAAAAAAAATCTGAAAGATTGAGTAATTCAAACGAAATAGAAGACTCTAAATTCATTCCCTTTGGGTGTCTCAGCAGCTCTTAGATCTCTAATAAAAGGCTATGTGTATGCACCTCTTAAGATATTGCTAATCCCAAATATGGAACAAAAACCCATGCATGGAGCAGGCCTACTCTGCAAAATAGAGTGATATGCCTGTTGAAATAAGATGTTGTTGTTCAGTGAATCTAGTCTCTGTAGGGTCTGTTGTAATAAAATAGTCTAATATTATACAGAATAATTATTGGGCCAACATTTAATGCATGCTCCTTATCCATCCACAACTAGATAGTCCTTCCACTGTTTTGAAAATTAAATGTTATCATTCTTTTATTCTAACCAGTGGTTCTTCAAGCCTTTTTATTTTACGATCCCTTTCAGCCATCTCATTTAAATAGAGAATCATTGTTTTGTTTGCTTTCTTTTCACCTCTGCCCATTCTTTATTACTTTAAAAATAAAGGTTTTAAAGTTGCATGCTGGTTAAATGACAGATCCATATCTACTTTTAACTACATTAGAAAGTATGTCCAGAGAATATGTGGCTCAGACTCAGTGTTCAAACCTTGTCTCCTGCCAGGAAACAGAGGCTAGTTTTAGTTTCAGACGTATCCCTAAGTGTGGCAGATACTGCTATTTGCCTCCCCAACAGCTACTATCCTTCTTCCCTTACTAAAGCATTCCAATTTTGTTCAAGAAGAGAATGTTCTTAGCTCAAGTAATAAGAGATTATTATATCTTGATAATTAAAGTGAAAAAATATCTAAAATCCAACTTGGACAGGTAGCTGCAAACATAGGTTAACTGTACTCCTTTGAATTGTGAATAGCACAGGTCACACCACTGTACTCAACCGCCCTTTAGCCAGGACTATGGTTCTATGATTCTTGAAATATAAGGCTTTAACTTTGCCTTCTGAAGCGTTTGTTCTTTTATTCTTTTCCAATAGTTCCCATGGCTGATAGCCATCACTCAGACATCTGCCAAGCATGTTCTTATTCCTATTCCACAACAATATACTATGTAAAGGAAAATTCATTGTCTTCTATTTTGGATGAAAAGTAAGGTAGTAAATGTATTTTGTTGTTCTTTAGCCTCTGAAACAGTCTTTTTGTGTCATATTTCCCTTTACTGTTTTCTAACCTAAATCAGGTCGGTAGCACCACTGTGGCCTGTCTTCTCACTCCTTTATCATGATTTTCTTTAGAGAAAATGTGGTATTAGTTATATGCACCTGAATAGGACTCTATCTCAATCAATCAAAAATCATTGAAAGTTTAGTATGTGCAGTGTTTTTGGAAATGTAGAGCTTTTCTGTGCCAGGCTGATCTTCTCAGGAGAAAGCACCAGTTTTCCAGCTCACATTAGAAACAACAGAGGTTGAGTGGCCCTTGGCCTAAAAGTAAAGCATTTTGAGAGATGCACTTCCCCCAAAAGCTTTTAGGTAACTGATTCTCTCATGCACTTATTTCTTTTGAGAAGAATTCATGCTATCACCACTAAATAACTGAATAGACTGGTGAAAATCACCC
Source organism: Homo sapiens (assembly GCF_000001405.40). Taxonomy (NCBI): domain Eukaryota; kingdom Metazoa; phylum Chordata; class Mammalia; order Primates; family Hominidae; genus Homo; species Homo sapiens. The sequence goes on along the minus strand of NC_000002.12, from coordinate 51,105,430 downwards.
AAATTTGCAAAGGTTCAATTTCCTCATCTGATACTGGGGCCTGCTCCCAGAGGCTGTACAGTGATTACATGTGAATGAATTTAGGAGAAAACTTTGAAACTATGAACTACCCAGAAGGTGCCAGGGGTGATTATCATATGAGTGCCACACTTACATATAACTTTTGTGAGGCAGTTGCTAATAATCCACCAGATTAAGATAATTATAATAGCTTAGATTTGTTGAAACCTTCGTATGTATCCAGCCCTTTTATTACTCTTACTGTTCCATTTCAGAGGTACGAAAACTAAGGCTTAGAGAATTGAATAAATTGCTTAAGATTTTGTAGCTGGAAAATAATGAAGCTGGAGTTTAAACCCAGAAGTTTATTCACAAGCTGTATCTGATGTGAGTACTTGCTCAGAAGTGCAAAGTTTGTCCATATATACTTGAAACTTTGTTTGTATATTTTCTTTGTATTTAATTCATCAAAACCTTATATTCAAAAATGATGTGAAACACACACACATTAAGTTAGATGGCTGAGTGTGGTGGTTCACTCCTGTAATCTCAGCACTTTGGGAGGCTGAGGCAGCCAGATCAGTTAAGGCCAGGAGTTCAAGACCAACATGACTATCATGGTGAAACCCAACTGTACTAAAAATACAAAAATTAGGCAGGTGTGGTGGTGCACACCTGTAATCTCAGCTCCTCAGGAGGCTGAGGCACAAGAATCACTTGATCCTGGGAGAGGGAGGTTTCAACAAGCCGAGATGGTGCCACTGCACTCCACCCTGGGAGACAGCAAGACTATGTCTCAAAAGAAAAAGAGTTAGGTAACTTGTAGTAGTGGTTCCCTTGTGGAAACTAAAACATTCTTATTGGGATATAATCAGCAGTGGAATTGCAGGTATTGTCCAGGGGTTAGAGAGGCATTACAAAGCCATTGCAGCTTTGCTGGGGGCTTTTAAGTGACCTTATACACGGTCACTAGTTACCTAAAAGGGAGTCCTCATATACAAACTGTTGTATGTTTCAAGTTTTTTTCTTCTAGAGTCTAGGAAAAATAATTTTGTCAACATAAATTTAAGTTTGTCCTAGGAAACAAAAGGATAGATTGGTGAATTAGCAGCTGTTCATTTTTATTATCTGAAAATAAAGGAGCTCTGTTAGATAATTATAAGATTACCATGTTTTCCCTCTCTTGAAACTGTACAAATTGTATATCTGACAATTCCTTCATCTTTTGAAGAAGAATATAATAAGAAAGTGTTAATTTTCAGGTAAAATGGTAAAATGGTAGTAAAGATGTGCTAAGTCTTCTACCAGAGCTTAAAAGACACTCTAGATCAGGGGTTGGCAAACTAGAATCCATGGCCAAATCCTGCCCATTGCCTGATATTATAAAAGTTCCACTAGAACTCAACCATACATATTTATTTTCATATTGCCTATGGCTGCTTTCCTGTGACAACCTGAGTTGAGTAGTTGCCACAGAGATGTTATGGTCCATACATCTGAAAATATTTGCTATCTGCCTGCCACTGCCCTTGATAAAATGAGAATTGTATCAATATTACAGGTGTGACAGAAAAACACAAGAGAAGGTAGTTTGAGGGTCAGTTTGAGAGAAAGGTTAGCCAAGGGGGCCAACAATGTAAGCCTGGGTGGGGCAAACCAGGAAGGCAGTGGGGATGTCGTTGACACAGTCAGGAAGTGGAGTGGGCTAAGAAAACAGTGTGGTTGCTAGCGGAGTGCAGTGAGCTAGCGGGGTGTGTTCCTGGAGCAGGAACCAGAGGAGGGTAATTAAAACTTACAGTATGGTCAGGGAGCAGGGTGCAGTCAGGCAGGAGAGGGCTGTAGTCAGGGACAAGGGGAACAGTCGGGGATCAAAGTGTCATCAGGGAGTCAGAGCTGGTTGCGTTCAGGAAGCTGGGTATAGACAGAGGAAAAATGTGTAGTTAGGAAGTTGAATGTCATCAGGGCGCAGTGTCATCAGGGAGGCAGTTGTACTCCAGAAGTGGAATGCAGCCAGCTGATGGCTGTAGTCACAGAGTGGAATGCAGTCAGGGAGCAGCGTGCAGGGGTCATCAGGGGGCACTCTGTGGCTGCAGAGCAGAGTGTAGTCAGCCAGCAGAGTGTGGTCAGGGATTGAGTGTCCTCAGGGAAGAGGGTTTTGCCAGGGAGCTGGGTGTAGCCTGGGCGGAGAATGTAGTCCTGGAGCCGGTTGCAGTCAGGTAGTCAGAAAGCCATCACAGAGCCTCAGAGAGCCTGTAAAGCTAGTGTTGGTGAGATTGAGGCACCAACTCTGAGTTGTTGTTGTTGTTTTTGTTGTTGTTTGTTTGTTTGTTTTAGAGACAGGGTATCACTCTGCCACCCAGGATGAAGTACAGAGACATGATCTTGGCTCACGGCAGCCTTCAACTCCTGGGCTAAAGGGATCTTCCCACCTCACAGGTAGCTGGGACTCTAGGCAGGCGCCACCACTCCTGGCTTTTTTTTTTTTTTAACTTTTTGTAGAGACAGGGTCTGTCTCTTTTGCCCAGTCTGGTCTGGAACTCCTGGGCTCAAGCTATCTTCCCACCTCCACCTCTCAAAGTGGTGGGATTACAGGCGTAAGCCACACACCCAGCCTAAGTTTTAATTCTAGGTCAAAGTCTGTTTATCCACTGATTCCCTCACCTTAGCCCTATACAGAAAGTACCTATTTTTGAGCCAGGCATTCTGCTAAGTGTTCTTCCACCTGCTGGCAGTGCAATTGCCTCCACCAATAACAAGTGTTATTATGGCCTAAAGGAAATCAGAGCTAAAAAGGTGGAAACTGGTTTCTGAATGATGCCAAGGCACTGGGATCATGTGAAAGCCTGAGTCTATGTTGTTGTGTTCTGTGTTTATGCAAATAATAATGAGAATAATTATAAAACTCCATACACTTGTGCCTGCCAGCATTCATCACTGTGCACAATGTTAGTTCAAACTCATTGTGTATCAAGAAAAGAATAGAGTTTTATGTAATGAAATATAATGCTTTATTCAAAATGATTTGTCAGCTTCAGAGAATAGCAATAATGTTGTATTATAAATTAAAACTTGAGTGGTTGAAGGATTTTTCCCCCCTTACCGCCAGCTGTTAATACAGTTTGACAATATACCTAATCAAAATCACATAGCTTAATTGCCTTTGATGCATTCATAATTATATTTACCAGGACTTTAATACACAACCCAGAACACACACATGCAACTTGATACATAACACACAGAATCCTCCTACATTTGAGGAACTGAAAAATAATTTGGAGAGGTAGTTATTAGAAGGGAAATGCTGCGGTGAGTTTTATTTTCATGTTACATTTTAAAATAAATGTGCATTTTTTAATTTTTCCAATATATTGTACACTTAGTAATAAATAGTTCATCTAAAACATGCTGAGTAAATTAAGCTACTAGGAAACAGTTATTGCCTCATAAAGTAAAAACTGGAATGAATGAAGCTGTCAAGTGAAGAACAATTAAATTATTTCACTAGGTTGTTAGAAAAAATAGCATTTTGTGGGAAACCATGGACTTAGCAGAGACTGTGATTTTGAGGCAAGAATTCATGAATGCACCTACATCCTACAGATTATCCAAATATAAAATTTTTTTGAACAGACTCAGAAAAGAAGAGAGGTTCAATCTGTTCTGGTCAATGAAGGAGATCTGACTTTGCTTTTGGAGCCGCTTTATTTTTGTTAGTCTAGAAATATTACCCAGAATCTATAATACTGAGGTCAGTAGCAAAGAATCTTTCAGGAAGCACCACATCCATTTTCCTAGTCTGTTATTTAGTTCACCAATATAATAAATATAGTGGCTTCTTTTACAGAGATCACCTCTCTGTAGGTTTGTTTACCAAGTTATATTTTTACCTGTATATTTCTTACAACTTTCGAAGGATATTTTAAGTCATTCGATGTCTTGTTCTCCTTACAAACCTACTTATTCTACCTAAACTAGTGTGGGCACTGACCCATACATACTTAATAATCTCACCTCTAGCAGTTTCTCTTTGCTAGAAAAGTTTCACTCATTACAATTACACTTACTCTTGAGGAATCAGCTAAAAATGGGCTTGTTCTCTAAAACCTTCCTGAATGCTCCAGCCTAAAATGATCTTTCCTATGAGCATTTGTTTTACATCTTGTGTGCATCTTTGATGCAAATGGCTTCTCCAAGCTAGCCACATTTAAGAACAGCATACTTCAATTCTGCAGGACACAGACATGTTTATTAACAGATTTGGTCATTCATTCTACACATTTATAAACTGTGATCCTTGTGAACAAAAAATGGTATTAAGCAAACAGTCTCCAGGAATTTTCCCACTTAAGATATAGGTGGCTGGGTTCCACATCTGAAGCAGGAGAGAAAGGGTTGGGCAAGAGCTTAGTCAGAATAACAGATCTAGATTCATTGTCATTCTGAGAGGTTGAGAGTCAAGTCAACTGCAGCAGTAATAGCCTGGAACTTGATAAGCCTTCCACCAGTTCCCATCTGCATAAGTGGGCCTATTTCTCACTGACTTACCTCCCCAAGGTTGTTATGATAAAGCAGGGATTTTTTTTTCTCTCATTGTCTTCTTCTCTCATTAGACTCAGTATGAACGAAATGAACTTTTATTGGTTCAATTTATTTCTCTTATTCAGGGAAATCAAATCTCATCAAACTTGAAAATCAAAACATTCTTCCTTCTGGGTCATATTTCTTAGAGCAAAATTATCTCTAATTTGTCTATATTTTAGACAAAATCCTGTTACCAAGCCCTGACATAGTCTGTATGACTTCTCTTTTTAAGGGTCTAATAGAAAATAAGGTTATGTAGGAAACACTAATACATTGATTCCTCTCTCTTTCTTGTTGTCAAAGAGTAAAAGGTCATAACAGAACGTAAATGTCCTATGGAGTAACTCATTTGCCATTAAGTATTACTGAATGGTATTGACAGTTTGCACCTTCATAGACCTTATACATTTTAGACACAGGGACTCAAATATTACTTTAGCTTTCATATCTGATTTTTCCCCAGCACCCCTTAGCATCAAGCACATCACTTCACTCATGTCCTTTTTTATCTAAACAACAATGGTCAAGGGCTTCTTATATACCTGGAACTTATACACCAGTTCCAGGTATATAAGAAGGTTCTGGAGACACAGAGATGCATAGTATCAGGCATTTGTTGTGAAGGAACTCACTTTCAAGTTAGGGAGACAAATGCACATAAATGGTTACAATTCAGTGGAGCAAATGCTAGAAGAAAAGTATGTTTCAGGCGCTGTGTGAATACTAAGAAAGGAGGGACTAACTTCCTTATTGAAAGAAGATCGGTCATTTATTATAGCAGAAAGCAGATGAGACCAAATGAGTGAGAAAGCAGATCATAAAGAATCCTTTAATCATAATAAGAAATCTATCGTTTTTATATATAATGGAGAACTAGGGGGTGGTATTTCCAATTGGCATTACAAAGCTAAATATGTGTACCCATCTAAGCACTCAGTGGATGTTTTCTGATAACGATTGATCAAAATAAGTGAAGTCAATTCAAAGAAGCTACACAGGAGAACTTTAGGGTGAAGAACTGTTCGGTCTGATTCTGGAGTGATAAACAAGTGACTCCAACCCACAGAACTGTACATTAAAAACAGTAAACTTTATACAAAGTAAAAGAAAAGAAAAAGAAGAATGACCTAAGTAATGTGGAAAAAGATGTTCTGACTGGAAAGTATGAAACAACAGACAACAAGAATTGTACACAAACACTCTAGTTGGCAAAATTGCTTCTCTCAGGAATACAGGTTAACATTTCTGGAACCACTGTTCATGTACACTGAGGATGAAGAAATAACTAAATGGATGGCAGGTGGTGGGTGGAAGCCAGGTTTCTCACTGTTGGAGAGGAAAGTTATAAACAAGAAAGTAATGCTAGAATAAACTCTGTGCAATGGAATTAGTAAGAGACATCA